>NW_016107303.1:0-210253 GCF_000001405.40 Homo sapiens
GAATTCCCCATGAGTCCTGTGACCTCAGCCCACACGGGGACCTACAGGTGCTACGGCTCACTCAGCTCCGACCCCTACCTGCTGTCTCACCCCAGTGGCCCCGTGGAGCTCGTGGTCTCAGGTGAGGGCGCTGACCCTGTCCTCTCTGAGCTCAAAGGCTCAGCTCAGGCCCTGCCCCCAGCAGAGCTCTGGACACTAAGGAAAGAGGGGAGTGAAGGGAGAGGGTCCGCAGGGGAGGGTCCAGCCCATGGGAAGATGGAAATAGACAGGGACCTCCCACCCCTGGCTCCCACCCCTGAAGTCTCAGTAGAGTAAAGTGCAGGGAGGGCTGGGAGGAGACGGGGGGTGAACCTCAAAGGAGTTGAGATTAGACTGAGGGTGGAAGACGGAGGCCCCACCTGCTCCCATCCTGGTGTCTCCACCTCAGAATCAGAGCCTCTGTGTCCCAGTCCCCAACAGACGCCCTCCTGGAGAGAGAAGCATCCAGGCTGCCGGTGCCACCTGCATCCACCCCCGACCCCCCCCCACCCCGCCCCACTTCCTGCTTTCCCCTGCAGCCTCCCCAGCACTCAGCGCACACCTGAGCCTCACAGGGACTTGCACGTGCTCCCGCAGCAGCTCAGGGAATGTGCACCGCTCCTCTTCTGCGCCGTTGACATTTTTTATTTGGGTTTTTAAAATCTCATATTGGCCTTTTTGTCCAAGCTGGTGAAAGTAGATTTGCAGCATCACCTATTTTTATTCTCACCCGGTTTCGTAATAGCCCTGATCTCACGTGCTCCCTGAGGTTTTGTAAACTTCAGGTAGAAATGTGGACTTCCTTCGTTCTGGACATTTGCTATGGAGGGGGTAGGGCTTATCTTTTCAGAAAAAGTCAAATGACTGGTACCACTCCTTGAAACCCTACAGCACTTTCCAGACCTCAGAGGGAGGGAGAGAGAGGCAGAGACAGAGACAGAGAGACAGAGAGAGAGATATTGGGGCCGCTCTTTCCTGGCCGGTTCATCCTGGCCTATTCTCAATCCACCAAGGCCCCGAAGCTCATCTCCCCTCCTCCTCTGCCTCCTCCTCCACCCTGTAGACAAGCGGCCATTCCTTTCTGAAGAACAGGCTGAGACCTTTCTGGGACCTGCTCTTTCTGGAGCCTCTGTTGCTCCCTGTCTGGGTCTCCACACGCCTCCTTCCTGGCCCTTTTTCCTATTGAGGAATCAGCTTCAATGTCACCTCCAAGTGTGACCTTCACTGACGACACAGCTCAGCCCAGTCCTGCCTGCTTCTCATTTATGTCAAGTAATTAACCAACCTACACCATGCGGCTGAATTCCTTCTCTCTCTCTTCCACTCTCTGCATATACGTGTGTGTGTGTGTGTGCGCGTGTGTGGTCACACCAACATCTTACGTGACATTGAAACCTAGTTATCCGTATATCTATACAAATAATATATATTCACACATAAATATAGGTCTCTACCAATATATCTAAAACCATTGCTACGACTAGTAAATTTCCACTGCTGTGTTTCTATATGTTTGCTGTTTGTCTCCAGGTGAACCCACACTTCAAGAAGGCAGAGATAGTTTTTAAGGCCCACTATATATATAAAACAGATATATATTTGTGTTTGTGTTTTTCTGTGTGTGTATCACATTCTACCTGTTGCTGCCTATACGAATAATTAGCTACCTAGAGATTAAATGGACAATGAAACTCCAGGTGAAGTGGCTGAGGGCATGAAGGGGAGGCAGCCCCAGAATTTCACCCCTTTGTGCTTCTGACATTGAGGCTCCCCTGATGACTAACCCTCATCCACGGAGCCTGGGTCCTCAGCTGGTGGATCCGTGAAACTCTCATCTCCGGGGGAGTTGGCTCATGTTCTCCTGTGTCCCAGGCTGCACAGAGAGCACACAGGCCTTAGTGACCTCTGTACTGGGGACCACTTTCCTTGCAGATCCTGAGCTCTCAGGATGCAGGAAAACTCTCTCCCAGATGACTCAGGAGCAATGTTTAAATCCATAGAACACAGGAAAACTGAAATCGTTCAATGAGGAGACTAGAGGGAATCCTGCTAGCGGAGGAAGAGGTTTTTTTTTTTTTTTTTTAGAAATTCTGTAAAAGTCACATCATGAGACATTAAGTAATAAAAAAAAAATTGCAGAGCCCAGGTGAGAGGCTGGGCTCAGGTCTCTTTTTCTCTGTTTTGATTCTCTGGAGCAGCTGATACCCTCAGCCCATCACAAAACAAGTCTGACTCTGAGACTGGTATGTGAGGAGATACTCTCAGTGATGGGGCTGGCACTGAGGGTTGGGTCCTGTGAAGGGGAGGTGGGTGCCCTGGGTGGACAATCTGATCCACCCTGACCTCTGTGACCTCTTTGTCCACCATCCCCAGCCTCACACCTTCAGGATTACGCAGTGGAGAATCTCATCCACATGGGCGTGGCTGGCTTGATCCTGGTGGTCCTCGGGATTCTGTCATTTGAGGCTTGGCACAGCCAGAGAAGCTTCCCAAGATGCAGCCGGGAGGTGAACAGCAGAGAGGATAATGTACTTTATAGAGTCGTGAAGCCTCAGGAACAGATCTGATGATCCCAGGAGGTTCTGGAAGAAAATCTAGGGCCGATGCTATCTGGACTGTCTGCTGGTCATTTCCAGAGGAAGGAATCAATGTCCGAGTGCAGGGACATTTTCTGGGGTGATCCATGGAGAACCATTAAAATGTGATACCTTTCCTCTCCATTAATGTTGACTTTCCTTGGTTGGATCTGCCTCTTTTCCCACACTTAGACATGAGGCTCCATCCCACATGGCAGCGTTGGGTCCACACCTCTGCACACCTGCATGCTCTGGTCCATGGCGTGTCACACAGTCCTCTTCATTTCTCATTGCCACACTTCCTGGTGTACTTTACTGGGTCTTCATGTCTTCAGTTCAGAGTTCCGCACCTGGTTTAGGAACTAATTCAACGGGAGAAGATCAGAGTCCGACCAGGAAAAGATAAATGCACCGTGATGCCCTCACCTCCTGTGTGGACCCTATGAGCTCTTCCCTCCTTATCAGATGCTATCTGTGTAGTTTCTCCTGAAATATCACCACCTGGAATCAACACACTGGCATTTGAAGTCACGACCCAATGGTATGCTAATTCTGAAAAAGACATTTTTTGAAATGCTATGATTAGTGGCATTTACCAATTTCCTTGACGTAAATTCTTTTTTCATGGCCATAATCAAGATGCCAACGAGACATCCCTGAATGCAGGGTTGGGAAGCGTTGGACAGACTTGTCTTCACTCATAAGCACCAGGCATCTGATAGCTCACGTATACATCTTATTACCTTCCATTTTAGAGTGAATAATCATTTCTACTTCAGTATTTTGGCACAGGTAAAAGCAGTCCCATTACTGCGCGTATACCCAAAGGAATATAAATCATTCTATTGCAAAGATACATGCACACATGTGTTCATCGCAGCACTATTCACAATAGCAAAGACATAGAATCAACCCAAATGCCCATCAATGATAGACTGGATAAAGAAAATGTGAGACATATACACCACGGAATACTATGAAGCCATAAAAAGAAACAAGATCATGTCCTTTGCAGGGACATGGATGGAGCTGGAAACCATTATCCTCAGGAAACTAACACAGGAACAGGAAATCAAACGCTGCATGTTCTCACTTACAAGTGGGTGCTGAACAATGAGAATGCGTGAACACAGGGAGGGGAACAACACACACTGGGGCCTGTCGGGGGGGGGGTGGGGTAGGGGTAGGGAGAGCATTAGGAAAAATAGCTAATGTATGCTGGGCTTAATACCTAGGTGATGGGTTGACAGGTGCAGGAAACCACCATGGCGCACATTGACCTATGCAATAAGCCCACACATTCTGCACATGTACCCCGGAACTTAAAATAAAAATAAAAATTAAAATTAAATTATGACACCATGATCCTAGCATATCCAAAAAAGACAAAAATGCCAATATCAAATGTCGGAGAAAATAGGGCTGAATTAAAAATCCAATACAACGCCGGGCGCAGTGGCTCACGCCTGTAATCCCAGCACTTTGGGAGGCCAAGGTGGGTGGATCACTTGAAGTCAGGAGTTTGAGACCAGCCTGGCCAAACGTGGTGAAACCCTGCCTCTACTAAAAATACAAAAATTAGCCGGGTGTGGTGGCACTCGCCTGTAGTCCTAGCTACTAGGGAGGCTGAGGCAGGAGAATCACTTGAACCCGGGAGGCGGAGGTTGCAATGAGCTGAGATCATGCCACTGAACTCCAGCCTGGGTGACAGAGCGAGACTCCGTCTCAAAAAAAAAAACAAAAAAAAAAAACCCTCAAAAGCTCAGGCAGCAAAAGCAAAAATAGGCAAATGAGATCATAGCAAACTGCAAACCTTCTGCACAATCAAGGAAACAAACAGCAGAGTGAAGAGACCACCTACAGAATGGGAAAGAATATTTGCAAGCAAGAGATTAATCTCCAGAAAATACAAGGAGCTCAAACAATGCAGAGGTTTTGAAGGATGGTGATGAGAAGGTTCTGCTACTTACAGAAAGGAAGTTTAGGAGAAACAAAACCACAAACCTAGGTGGTGGGATGGCTTGATCTGCTTCTGTCTGTGACTCACTTAACAGTCTTAAACACATCTCCCTAAGCCTCCTTCCCCCGGTGGGATTCCTGGGTCTTGTGAGGACCTCATCGGTCCCTCTGGTAAACCCAGGCACAGAGTGGAGCAGCTCTTGTTTTCTCAGGATCTTCCCCTTCACATACAATTAACGCACCCACACGATGCTACTCTTAGAACCCTTCAAATAAATGTTTCCCGGTTCATTCACTACCAGAATCCAAGCTCAGCTTGTTCCCCAGCTTAGGACTGAGTGGTATCTTGGAGGTAGTTTCCACCATAGCCCCCTTCCTCTGCTATAAGGCTCAGTGACACACCAGAGACACCCCCTCCAGCCAGGCTCCTGGAAGGTCTGGATGAAGACTGGGATGCTGAGGCATTGCTCAGCAATGTGGCTTAACTCAAACTTCTATGTGAAACTTCCAACCACTTTCAGCAAGGGGTCACTTCCAGCGTCTTGGGGTGTGAGGGCACTTTGGTTGGTCCCTGCAATATCAGACCCTATAAAGATCCTACAAACATGTTGCAGACTCTTTGAAGATTCTGGCACTTTCAGACATGCTGTTGGGAAATGGTGACACCCATAACCTTCTAGTTCCAGGACAGGGAGCCTTAGCCCAGGGCTATGTTTTCTGAGGGTCCTCAAAGTAAACAGTTCTATGTGCCAGGAGAACCCTAAATCTCATATGGTTCTAAGGGCAGAAAGCCACACACGCACCGGCAAAAAGCAAGAGATTCAAGGAAAAGCTGAGCAAAGACAGACAGGAAAACACACACATGATGAGCCAGCTTGTAGAGCTAGAACTGAGATGGAGAGAGGCACGAGTGGGTAACAGAGTGTGCTCCCCAGAACAGGTGGAGAGAATGCCTTTTTCATGCCCTGAGGATAGGCTGGGTAAGGCTTGTGCTCGACAGTCAAGGACTATTTTTTTCCCCAGGCGTCTACAAGAGACCTTCCTTCTCAGCTCAACTGTGCCCTGCAGTAAGTAATGATGGAGAGAATGTGACTTTGCTCTGCAGCTCTGGAAGCTCATTTGACCTGTGCCTTCTAACGAGGAAGGTAAGGCCCCTGGACACTGGCTCACTGGGGTGCAGAGACAGAGTGGGGCATTCAGGCCAACTTCTCTCTGGGTCTTGGGGCTGGTGATGGGACCTCTAGATGCTGCAGCTCTCTGTCGATGGCTCTGCCTGTGAGTGATCAGCCCTAGATGACCACTGTTACTGGGGGTAGCCCATGCCTGCTGCATGCCCTGTGAAACACTAAATCATATAGCCACGTCTGAGGGACAGCCTGCTGGAGACATGGGAATCTTAGGGATTCCAGACAAAATGAAGCAATGAGAAACACAAAGAGGAAAAGAGAGGTTGAGTATGACAGTGGTGTCAGGGTGTAGGGTGGTAGACAGGGCAGCTCCACACTCTCCACTGCTTCCTGTCTGGAGGCCCACTTTGGGGTCCTACTTATCCAGGTGAGTGAAGGAAGAGGTCAGGACAAACACAGGAGGTGAAGCCAGATACAGTGTGGGGAGATAAGCAGTGGCCTCAGCCTCTAGCCCTTTTCCATCTTCCAGAAGCCCCTCCTGAGCTCTCATCACAGACAGATTTCCCATTTGGAAACCCAGATATTTATCATGCCGGGGGGGGGAGGCAATGTCTCTTGATTATGGGGACTTTCCATCACCAGGCACCTGCTAGTCCTCTCTATACCTTCCCTTCAGGAAAGGAATTGTCCCTCATGGGATTCCAGGGAAGAGACCCCAGGACCCCTATCAGTCACTAGGGAGATGACAGAGTAGAGGAAGTCAGGGGACCAACCCTCCACAGAGAATGGTCCTACTTCAGTGGGGTGAGGGAAACTCTCACTCATCCATTTGCTGTCCTGTTACCTCGGAACCCTAAGAGAACTTGTTAGTCACACACAGAATCTACCCCTGAATGTGGTGTGCAAAGTGGGGCTCTTAGCCTCCAGTGTGAAGTCCCTGGGAAGATGGAATGTCCCTGTGTGAGTGAAGGCTGTGCCACCGCCCAGCTATGTGGCCTTGGGCTAGGCAACCCCTCCCAGGTCCCCAGTTCCCCATCTGCATCGGAGACTGTGGCCAGTGCGGGAATCCACAAGGCCCTTCAGCCTCCAAAGCTCTGGGACAGAGGCCTCGTCCACAGGGAGGAAGGGGTCAGAGTGACCTGAGTCCCTACTCAGGAGCGAGTCTAATCCACTCTCCATCGGGGCCTGTGGGGAAGGGAAGATGAAGAAACGGAGCCTGCACCTGGCTATGTGGGCGCAGTAGATTAAGGGGAGGATGAGGGTTCCTGAGAGTGTGTCATGTGGCAGAGACCCTGCAGCACACTCAGGAAGGGCTCTGGAAGGATCCAAGGAAATTTTCCAAGAAGAGGGCAGAGTAAGTGACAGAGACCCTCAACCATGGATTTCACTGAGGTGCCCATGATGACATAGGGAGAACGGGGGTGTCTGGGCAGGAAGAATATCGTCAGGGTGAAATGAATGGTGATGAGCTTCGTGTCAGAGCTCCTGTGGAGGGAGGGGCCTGGCCCACATGAAAAGGTCTCTGATCCTACCCCAGCCCCCAGCCCCTGTTCTCCAGGATGACACTGTGGGAATTCCATCAGGAGGGGTGTGATAGGGCTGGTCTTCCTGGCTCGATTCACAACACTGGCTGGGGACTGGGAACCCATGGGGAGCCACAGGTGGAAAGGGAGGAGCCTCAGTGAACCCAGCAGGAACAAACATAGGGTCTGACATGATGGAACTCACTTCCTGGAGGCCAAGAAAGACACTTGCGGGACAAAAGGGAAAGAGCGGTGGCTTGCTTAGTTCCATTCACTGACAACCCACAGGAGATGTCCAGTCCTTTTTTGATTTATTATTTTATTTTATTATATTTTATTTTATTTTATTTTATTTTCACATGGAGTTTTGCTCCTATTGGCCAGGCTGGAGTGCAATGGCACGATCTTGACTCACTGCAACCTCCACCTCTCAGGTTCAAGCGATTCTCCTGCCTCAGCCTCCTGCATAGCTGGGATTACAGGCGACTGCCACCACAGCCAGGTAATGTTTGTATTTTTAGTAGAGATGAGGTTTTGCCATCTTGGCCAGGCTGGTCTCAAACTCCTGATCTCATGTGATCCGCCTGTATCAGACTGCCAAAGTGTTGGGATTACAGGCGTGAGCCACCACACCCAGCCTTTTGTATTTTTAGTAGAGATGGGGTTTCACCATGTTGGTCAGGCTGGTCTTAAACTCCTGACCTCAGGTGATCCATCCACCTCGGCCACCCAAAGTGCTGGGAGTACAGATGTTAGCCACCGTACCCAGCGAGAGTTTCAGTGCTCTATCGGATTCCCTGCCTACTCCATGTTGCATGTAATGTTCCACCTCAGGGATGTTTCTCTCCTTTCTGTCTCCTTCCTCTTCTCCTTCTCCTTTTTTCTTTCTAATTTTTATTTTTTTGAGACAGAGCCTTGCTCTGTTACCCAGGCTAGAGTACAGTGGCACGATCCCAGCTCACTGCAACCTCTGCCTCCTGGGTTCAAGAGATTCTCCTGACTCAGCCTCTCAAGTAGCTGGGATTACAGGCACCCGCCATCACACCCAGCTAGTTTTTGTATTTTTAGTAGAGACGAGGTTTCACCATGTTGGCCAGACTGGTCTTGAACTCCTGCCCTCAGGTAATCCACCCGCCTGTGGCCCCCCAAAGTGCTGGGATTACAGGCGTGAGTCACCACTCCCAGCCCTGAATGATCTTTCCTCTTTAGTGTGTTCTCACAACCACCTCTCACTGAGCTTTCTTGTTTTTTGTTTTTGTTTTTGTTTTTGTTTTTGTTTTTGGCAGAGTCTGGCTTTGTTGCCTATGCTGGAGTGCAGTGGTGCAATCTCAGCTCACTGCAACCTCCGTCTCCTGGGTTCAAGCGATTCTCCCACCTCAGCCTCCTGAGTAGCTGGGATTACAGGCACCCACCACCACACCCAGCTAATTTTTGCATTTTTAGTAGACACAGGGTTTCACCATGTTGGTCAGGCTGGTCTCGAACTCCTGACCTTGTGATCTGCCAGCCTCAGCCTCCCAAAGTGCTGGAATTACAGGCATGAGCCACCACTCCCAGCCCTGGATTATCTTTCCTCTTTAGTGTGTTCTCACAACTACCTCTCACTGCTGGGTTTTCTCTCTTTCTTTTTTTTTTTTTTTTTTTTTTTTTTTGAGACAGTCCGGCTTTGTTGCCCAGGCTGGAGTGCAGTGGCGCGATCTCGGCTCACTGCAAGCTCCACCTCCCAGGTTCAAGCGATTCTCCCACCTCAGCCTCCCTAGTAGCTGGGATTACAGGCGCATGCCAGCACACCCAGCTAGTTTTTGTATTTTTAGTAGAGACAGGGGTTTCACCATGTTGGTCAGGCTGGTCTTGAACTCCTGACCTTGTGATCTTCCTGCCTCGGCCTCCCAAAGTGCTGGGATTACAGGTGTAAGCCACTGCACCCAGCCAGCTTTCTCATTCTTATCCCTTAGTTCTCTGCCAGGGAATAAGATAGAAACCATTCCCTCAACCACATTCTAGTCATGGTCCCTATTCTCATGTTTCCACTTCTCTCTCTTTGGTAATAAATCAATTAATTGAGAAACAAGTAGCTAAATGTTCATCTTCTGCTAGTCTGCATCCCCTTATTTTCCCAGAGCCTCCCCTAATGAAACTGACTTTATTTACTGAACGCAGGAAATGGGTCTCTCCAGATCAGGATGACTTTCTGCTGGGAAATATTTGTCTTTGCATCAGTGGGGAAAAAGAAAGCCGATGTCATGAGTGGAGGCTCTGAGAAAATAAGGGCTGTGTTTTCAGTTTAGACCCAGCTAAGTTGGGAGCTGACATAGATATGATGTTGGGTCCACCCTCCACGGGCAGGTTTTCAGACAAAGGATCCCTGGCAATCAGGGGACACCTCAGGTCTGGGCTGAGATGTGTGCAGAGGGCCTGGGTCCTCCTGAGCCCCTGCACTGGGGGGGGAATAAGAGACAGGCCCAGCAAGGGGCTGTCCACTTCCTGTGGGTTCACAGCTGTGGGGACCCAGGCAGGCGGCAGCAGGCTCTGACTTAACCACATCCGTGCATCTGTCTGTCATGGAGGGCCATGTGGTCACCTGTCCCACAGCTGGAGCACGCAGAGCAGGCATCATGGTGTCCATCCTCACTGTTCTTCTGTGCCTCAGTCAGTGGTGGAGAGACGAGGGACAGGAGGGGCACTGGGCTGAGGTGGGGAGGGTCCCACAGCAGCCTTGTTCACCAGAGAGCCTCAGGGCTCCAGTGGCTACTGGTGCTCCAACAGGAAGGGAAGCAGCCACACCTCTGTGTTCCAAATCCCCCACAGGAAACTCTTCTCCATGGCTGAGTCTGGGCCAGAAAGCCCAAGCACTTGCAGGTGAGTCTCTGCTAACCTCCCATGCCTGACCTCACACTCAGCACCTGGACTCTCATCTCAGGGGCTTCTGAACTGAGGGTGAGAAAATCAAGAGGGTCTGTGACCTGAGCTGGGAATGAGGAGCGGGGGAGGTCTGTGGACCCCAGCCTGTGGTTTCTTCCAGGGACCCTCCCCAAACCCAGCCTCTGGGCTGAGCCAGGCTCTGTGATTACCTGGGAGAGCCCCATGACCCTCTGGTGCCAGGGGACCCTGGATACCCAGGGTTACTATCTCACCAAGGAAGGAAACCCCATGACCTGGTACCAACAGAGCCCACCAGAGCCCAGGAACAAGACCAACTTCTTCATCCCATCCATGAGAGAGCACCATGCAGGGAGATACCACTGTCACTATCTCAGCCCTGCAGGCTGGTCAGAGCGCAGCGAGCCCCTGGAGCTGGTGGTGACAGGTAAGAGGACACTCAGGGGTCCCAGCCCCAGGCTCTGCCTGCAGGAAGGGGGTCAGCTCTCAAGGGCATCTCCGTTCTAATAACTCAGCCCTGGGGGATGATGTGGGACGCGTGAGCCCCATTTAAGACAGTGTCTCCTTCTCTCCTAGGAGCCCACAGAAAACCCACTCTCTCAGCCCTGCCGAGCCCTGTGGTGACCTCAGGAGAGAACGTGACCATCCAGTGTAGCTCAAGGGTGGGATTTCACAGGTTCATTTTGATTGAGGAAGGAGAAAACAAGCTCTCCTGGATGCTGGACTCACAGGAACTCTCCAAGGGGCTGTCCCTTGTCCCTGGCCCTGTTCCCTGTGGGCCGTGTGGCTGCCAGTCACCGGTGGATGTTCAGATGCTATGGGCATTACACGAACTTCCCCTGGGTGTGGTCGGAACCCAGTGATACCATGGAGATCCTGGTCTTAGGTATGGATGTCTTCCTCCTTGCCCTATTTATTTTTGAGAACTTACTCTCACGGAGCCCCATGTAGGAGGGTGGAACAAGGGAAGTTTGGGACTCCTGAGCCCAGAGACACTGAGTGTGAGAGACAGTGAGACCTGCAGGGCCAGGAGGGGAGAAGGAAGGGGTGTGGGAGGAACCAGCCCTCCTAGTCCCGACTCTTCTTTCCCTCCAGGCGTGTCTAGGAAGCCCTCCCTCCTGACCCTGCAGGGCCCTGTCGTGGCCCCTGGGGAGAATCTGACCCTCCAGTGTGGCTCTGATGTCGGCTATGACAAATTCACTCTGTACAAGGAGGGGGGACATGACCTCGTCCAGGGCTCTGGCCGGCAGCCCCAGGCTGGGCTCTCCCAGGCCAACTTCACCCTGGGCCCTGTGAGGGTCTCCCACGGGGGCCAGTACAGATGCTACGGTGCACACAACCTCTCCTCCGAGTGGTCGGCCCCCAGTGACCCCCTGAGCATCCTGATCGCAGGTGAGGAGCCCAGCAGGTTCAGTCAGGGACCCAGGCTCCGCACAGGCCCTGCTGGGGGAGCCCAGGTGGTGATGGCCGGGATGAGGGGTGGGGGTCCTAAGGGACGGAGAGACAGACAGAGACAGGGGATGGGCGGGGAGGGGGAGACTCAGAGAAAACAGAGACAGAGACACTGAGGGTCCCAGGGAGAGGCCTGGGGAGGTGTCAGCTCAGAACGAGGTGGGGCAGCCCCTCACCCATCCTTCTTCTCTCCAGGACAGATCCGTGGCAGACCCTCCCTCTCGGTGCAGCCGGGCCCCACGGTGGCCTCAGGAGAGAACGTGACCCTGCTGTGTCAGTCACGGGAGCAGTTGGACACTTTCCTTCTGACCAAGGAGGGGGCAGCCCATCACCCACTGCGTCTGAGATCAGAGCACCAAGCTCAGCAGCACCAGGCTGAATTCCCCATGAGTCCTGTGACCTCAGCCCACGCGGGGACCTACAGGTGCTACAGCTCACGCAGATTCTTCCCCTACCTGCTGTCTCACCCCAGTGACCCCCTGGAGCTCGTGGTCTCAGGTGAGGCCGCTGACCCTGTCCTCTCTGAGCTCAAACCTCAGCTCAGGCCCTGCCCCCAGGAGAGCTCAGGACGCTAAGGAAAGAGGGGAGTAAAGGGGGAGGGTCGGCAGGGGAGGGCCCAGCCCATGAGAGGGTGGAAATAGTCAGGGACCTCCTAATCCTGGGCTCCCACCCCAGAGACCTCAGATGGGGCTAAAGGCCAGGGAGGGCTGAAATGAGATATGGAGAAACCTTGGAGGAATCATGCTTAGGCTGAGGGTAGAAGATGGAGGCCCCACCCACTCCCCACCTGGGCTCCCCTGGCGGCCCCAAAATACTCAGTGCATACCTGAGACGAAGGGGAGATCATGCACCTGCTCACTGCAGCAATGCAGGCAAATTATTCAACAGCAAACCTCGTGTGCAATTCCTTTCTGTCCTTTATTTTTTATGTCCACATATCTAGTTTCTCTTTCTGTTTCTGAAGATTTCAAAGCAATGCTGGCATTTATAATTTACACATTTAATTTGTTAGGTAGCGTTATGATGTAAAATAACTGTGCTCTGATTTTCTTTGGGATTAAATTAAATATGTGCATTCATGATGGAGAATAACTTCTCATTAATAATGTCTTTGTATCCAATACATTTAAAATTAAACTTTATACAGTTAGCAGATGCTTGAAGTTGTATTCATAAAAATTGTGGACATTGTGAATTTTAAGCATTGTTTTACTACTTGAATAATTTGAAAGTCTTTGATTCCTTTCTATTTTCTAAAATTAGTTACGTATGGATGAGAAAGCTATTGGTTTGGGTATGCTAATTTTAGTTCCTATTAACTTACCACAGACACACTCCCTTTCAATCCTTTCCGAAATGATCTCTTCTGATTTATTGATAATAATTACATTAACCACAAGAAAATGGAGGACAAACTTGTTTGTTTCTAAATTATATAATACTCTTCTCACTTCAAATATATATGTATGTGTTTATATATACTCACACACTATTATATATCTTATAATATATATTATGTATTATATATTTATATATACACTATTATATATCTTATATATTATGTATTATATATTTATATATACCCACACATTATTATATCTTATAATATATATTATGTATTATATATTTATATATACCCACACATTATTATATCTTATAATATATATTATGTATTATATATTTATATATGCACTATTATATATCTTATATATTATGTATTATATATTTATATTACCCACACATTATTATATCTTATAATATATATTATGTATTATATATTTATATATACACACACTATTATATATCTTATTATATATTATGTATTATATATTTATATATACTATTATATATCTTATAATATATAATGTATTATATATTTATATATACACACACTATTATATATCTTATATATTATGTATTATATATTTATATATACATACTATTATATATCTTATAATATATTATGTATTATATATTTATATATATACACTATTATATATCTTATTATATATTATATATTTATATATGCACACACTATTACATATCTTATTATATATTTATATGTATACACACACTATTATATATCTTATTATATATTATGTACTATATATTTATATATACTATTATATATCTTATAATATATAATGTATTATATATTTATATATACACACACTATTATATATCTTATATATTATGTATTATATATTTATATATACATACTATTATATATCTTATAATATATTATGTATTATATATTTATATATATACACTATTATATATCTTATTATATATTATATATTTATATATGCACACACTATTACATATCTTATTATATATTTATATGTATACACACACTATTATATATCTTATTATATATTATGTACTATATATTTATATATACTATTATATATCTTATAATATATAATGTATTATATATTTATATATACACACACTATTATATATCTTATATATTATGTATTATATATTTATATATACATACTATTATATATCTTATAATATATTATGTATTATATATTTATATATACACACTATTATATATCTTATTATATATTATATATTTATATATGCACACACTATTACATATCTTATTATATATTTATATGTATACACACACTATTATATATCTTATATATTATATATTTATATATACTCACACTATATCTTATAATACATATTATGCATACACATATGCATAATACATATTATCTATACACATATGCATAATACATATTATGTATACACATATGCATAACACATATTATGTATACACACATATTTACACCTATGCATATATGTATGTATGTATGCGAATGTACCTCTGCCACGGCAGGGAAAGGTTCTATCACACAACTACAGAGCAGTTAGGAGAAGTGTAGACACAAAGGAATGCAGCAACTGAGGGACATGTTGGCTTAAGTCTCTTCAACTCCTCACACACCTCCCCCTTTTTTGGTTGATTCTCAGGAGCAGCTGAGACCCTCAGCCCATCGCAAAACAAGACAGACTCCAAGACTGGTGTGTAAGGAGATGCTCTCGGTTATGGGGCTGGCACAGAGGGTCAGGTCCTGTGAAGGGGAGGTGGGTGCCCTGGGTGGACATCCAGGGGTCCCGGGTGATGTTGATCTGCCCTGACCTCTGAGACCTCTTGGTCCACCATCCCCAGCCTCACACCCCCAGGATTACACAGTGGAGAATCTCATCCGCGTGGCTGTGGCTGGCTTGGTCCTGGTGGTCCTCGGGATTCTGCTGCTTTAGGACTGGCACAGCTAGAGAAGTCCCCAAGATGCAGCAAGGAGGTAAATACATGAGAGAACAATGCACCCTTCAGAGTGCCAGAGCCTTGGCAATGAATCTGATAGTCCTAGGAGGTTCTGGAAGAAAGTCTGGACCATCATTCGGGAAACCGTCTACTGAGAAAGTCGAGAAGGGGAGGCTTGGGTCAGGTTCAGGAAGATGTCTGGGTGCCTGTAGAGAACGCTTCCTCCATTAAACTTCCATTAAATGGCAGTGCTTTCAGTCCTGCTGTTGTGGATCCTCCGTGTCTGCCCCTCCCTTCCTTTCGCTCTCTGTGATGTGAAGGCACGTCCCCCATGGTGGGTTTGCATCCACACCCCTGCGATCACGTGCTCTGGTCCACTGTCATGTAATACATTTGTCTTTGTTTCCAACTACCGCATTCTCTAAAGTGAACTATTGATTCTCCATCTTTTCAGTTCTGAGCATAGATCTGGATTAAATAACTGGAATAGGTGGGCAGATTTGTATTTGGGACTTTGAAACATGAGTCTGAGGCCAGGCACAGTGGCTCACACCTGTAATCCCAGCACTTTGGGAGGCTGAGGTGGGCGGATCACTTGAGGTCAGAAGTTCGAGACCAACCTGGCCAACATGGTGAAACCCTGTCTCTACTAAAAGATACAAAAATTAGCTGGGTGTGGCAGTGAGCACCTGTAATCCCAGCTGCTCAGGAAGCTGAGGCGGGAGAATAGCTTGAACCCGGGAGGCGGAGGTTGCAGTGAGCCAAGATCTTGCCACTGCACTCCAGCCTGGGCAACAGAGCAAGACTCCATCTCCAAAAAAAAAAAAAAAAAGGGAAATATGAGTCTGAAATGATGCCCTAGCACCCTCTCTGGACCCTGAATTCCCTTCACTCTTCATCGGATGATACCTGTGTACTTTGTCCAGAAATATCATCTCTCAGAATGAGCACACTAACGCTCGAAGGCTCAGCCTCATGGTATTCTGTTAAACTGGCTCTCTGAAAAAATTATTTTCTTAAGAAAACTCTGAACATATAAAGCCCCAGATTTATGGTATTTGCTGATTAGTGTGGTATAAATACGTCCTTTATGGCCAACTTCAGGGTGCCCATATGACGCCATTGAATGCACAGTTGGGAAGTAGTCAAAAGAATTGTCGTTCACACGAGTATGAACCAGTTGTAAAGTTTATTTAAAGGTTATAATAATTTCTGCTTCATTCTTATGGTGTAGTTTCAGTAAAATTGTAATGTCAAAAATCATAGCACAATGGAGGGAAAAGAAAAAAATAGGCCGGGTGTGGTGGCTCATGCCTGTAATCCCAACACTTTGGGAGGCCGAGGCAGGAGGATCACCTGAGGTCAGGAGTTCGAGACCAGCCTGGCCAACATGGTGAAACGCTGTCTCTACTAAAAATACAAAAATTAGCCAGACATGGTGGCGCCTGCCTGTAATCCCAGCTACTTGGGAGGCCAAGGCACGAGAATCGCATGAACCCAGGAGGCGGAGGTTGCAGTGAGCCGAGATCACTACAGCCTGGGTGATAGAGCAAGACTCAGTCTCAAGAAAAGAAAAAAGTAGCAAAATCATTTTTTGGAAAGAATATTGAACATGTAGAATTTTAGTACATTAATAGTAAGAGTACAAATTGCTTTAATCAATTAAGGAAGTGTATTGGAATTATCTAGTTAAAAAGAGGAGGCACATGGCTGTGACCCTTCTTAATTATGTACTTAATTATGTACCCTAGAGATAAATGTCTACTTATGTGTCATGATACACTCACAACTGTTATAGGAATGCTGTTCCTATTAGCCAAAGCTATAAAATACCAAAGTCCACCTACGAAAAAAATAAACATAGTGTGGTAAATAGACTCAGTGGAATATTACAAGGTAGTAAAATGCATAAATGAAAATAACAAACAGCACCATACTTCAATTTTCAAGCATAAAGTCAAGTAAATGAAGTATTATTTGAAAATGTGTGCATGGTTATTTCATTACATAAAGGTCAAAAGGAGGGTACATTTATTATTTAGGAAAACACACCTAAGATATCTTTGTAAAATCTGTAAAATCAATAGTACTGTTTCCCCTCTTTCATTCCTTATCTTGAAAATGCTTGTCTCTTTTTCTGCCATGGCTTTCTACCTTGCTTGATATATTACAATTTTGTAACCTGCTTATTTCATCATATGTCATAAGTTCACATGTATATCCCATGAATTATTGAGGGTCTTATTCATTTCAAGTGGCATTTAGGTTTTTAAAAATATCTTTTGGCGACCAGGTGCAGTGGCTCATGCCTGTAATCCCAGCACTTTGGGAAGCCAAGGCAGGTGGATCACGAGTTCAAGAGACAGAGATCATCCTGGCGAACATGGTGAAACCCCGTCTCTACTAAAAATACAAAAAAAAAAAAAAAAATAGCTGGGCATGGTAGAGGGTGCCTGTAGTCCCAGCTTCTCAGGAGGCTGAGGCGGGAGAATGGCATGAACCCGAGAGACGGAGGTTGCAGTGAGCCGAGATCGTGCCACTGCACTCCAGCCTGGCAACAGAGTGAGACTCTGTCTCAAAAAAAAAAAAAAAAGAAAGAAAGAAAGGAAGAAAAAAAAATCTTCTGGCATTAACTATTAAGAAATTGCACTATAAAAAGAGAATATAATGCATAAGACGGCAATTTGAAAAGATTCAGATATAATTTTTTCTTATCTAGTAAATACTTAGTAATTTGTCTAATGCATGCCTTAAATACATACCACTTTATGCAGAGGTTGCCATGAGCCGAGATCGCGCCGTTGCACTCTAGCCTGGGTGGCAGAGCAAGACTCCATCTCAAAAAAAAAAAAGAAAATCTCACAGAAGGAGACCCAGAGCTTCCAGCCTCGCCCAGAGTCTTGGCTCACTCCCTGTGTGTGTGGACCCTAGGGAGCCTCTTCTGTTCCCCACAGAGGTGGAAACTTCCTCCTTAATAACCCCTTGATGGTCCCAGGCACTGGTGACCACTGAGCTTTGCTCTCTCTTTTTTCTTATGGTTCCCTGTCTACTTCCAGGGCTATCACTTTACTTTTTGTGCATTAGACCATGAATAATGTTTTAGAAACATTCTATCAAATTTCTCAGTGCTAGGAACAACTGAGGTTTTTGATTGGGTGCCTCAAATGTCTACCCTTACTGTGGAGTCCGACAACAGGATTCTAACAAGTCCCAACCCCTTCATGCCTTAACCTGGTCTGGAAATAAATTATGTTTAAGCCATCCCATACCCCAGCCACATCAAGCCCCACAACCACTCTGAGAAGTGAGATTTATAGCAAAATGCTCCAAACAAGGTAACTAAGGTTCAGACAAGGGATGTTAATGTGTCCATTTACATAAACAAAAAATGGTAGATGATCAGCTTTCCCTTTGAAATCAGAGTACTAATCTGACTCATTGTTCCCTGAATTTTAGAGGCAGGACCTCAGGAGGAGCTAAGAATCCTACCCCAGGAAAATTACCAATATCAGAAAGGAAACAATGACATCAGTACAGATCCTACAGAATTCAAAAGATTCTAAGTGGACATTATGAAGACATTATTCAGCTTAGATGAAGTGGTCACATATCACAAGAAAACAAACTGTCTAAAACAATCTCTGAAATACCTAGACATTCCCTGAATCATTGAGTTATTAAATAAAATACATTTTAAAATTAAACTCTTTTCAGGAAATAAACTTCAATGTCCCCTAGTGCACTCTCCAAAACATGTAGATGGGAATAAATACTGTTCTGAAAGACATTTCCCTGGAATTACAACCATTCAATATATTTTAAAAGGCAATCATAAAAATATAAAAAGGATATATCAGGAGAAGAAATGTAAATGGCCTAAATTCCCCACATAAAAGGCATAGAGTGGCAACGTGGATAAAAAGCCAAGAGCCAACTGCCTGCTGTCTTCAAGAGACCCATCTCACATGTAATGACACCCACAGGCTCAAAGTAAAAGGATGAAGAAATATTTACTAGGCAACCAGGAAACAAAAAAAAGGAAGGCATTCCTATTCTTATATCACATGAAACACACTTTAAATCAACAGCAATCAGGAAGGACAAAGAAGGGCATTACAAAATGATAAAGGGTTCAATTTGACAGAAGACTTAACTATTCTAAATATATATGCACCCAAATTTGGAGCACCCCGATTCATAAAACAAGTTATTCTTCACCTATGAAAAGAGTTAGACAGCCACACAATAATAGTAAGGGACTTCAGTATCCCACTAACAACGTCAGATGAATCACTAAAACAGAAAACTAACAAAGAAATTCTGGTCTTAAAGACAACACTTGACCAATTGGACCTCATAGACATCTACAGAGTACTCCACCCAACAACTGCAGAATATAGATTCTTCTTATCTGCACACACAAAAAACATATCATATTCTAAGACTGGCCACAAAGCAAGTCTCAATAAATTCAAAGAATCAAAATCATAACAAGGCACACAATAAAAATAGAAAAAAATACCAAGATGATCTCTCAAAACTACAGAAAAACATGGAAATTTAACAACTTGTTTCTGAATGAATATTAAGAGCCATCTATGACAAATCCACAGCCAACATCATATTGAATGGTCAAAAGCTGGAACTGTACCCCTTGAGAACTCTTGGGTGAACAATGAAATTAAAGCAGAAATCACAAAACATTATTTAAAATTAATAAAAATAGAAACAAACTTACCAAAACCTTTGGGATGCAGTTAAAGCAGTGATAAGAGGAAAATTTATAGCAATACATGCCTCATCAGAAGTTTAGAAAGATCTCAAATTAGTGACTTAACACTGCATCTAGAGGAACTATTAAAAAAAAGGAACAGTCCAAACCCAAGGCCAGCAAAAGATGAGAAATAACTAAAGTCAGAGAGAACTGAATAAATTGAGACCAAAAAGTCCATACAAGAGATAAATAAAACCAAGAGTTTTTCTTTGAAAAAAAATAAACAAAATTCATAGACTGTTAGCTAGATTAACAAAGAAAAAGAGAAAAGATCCAAATAAACACAAATAGAACTGACAAAACAATGTTACGAACAATCCCACAGAAATAGAAAAGATCGTCAAAGACTATTATGAACACCTCTATACAAACAAGCTAGAAAACCTAGAAGAAATGGATAAATTCCTGGTAACACAAAATTTATCATATTTCAACCAGGAAGAAAGTGAAAACCTGAACAGACCAATAACAAGTTCAGAAATTTAATCAGTAATAAAAACCCTACTAACTAAAAATAGCCCAGGACCAGATGGATTCACAGCCAAAATCCAACAGCCATACAAAGAAGAACTGATACCGATCTTACTGAAACTTTTGGAAAAAATCAAGGAGTGGGGGCTTCTTCCTAACTCATTCTATGAAGCCATCATCACCATGATACCAACATCTGTCAGAGACATAATGAAAAAAAGAAAACTACAACTAAATATCCTTAATGAACATAGACATAAAATCCTCAACAAAATGCTAGCAAATTGAATCTGTCAGTGCATCAAAAGTTAATTCACATGATCAAGTAAGCTTTATTTTTGGGATGCAAGGTTGGTTCAACCTACAAAGTCAACGAATGTGATTCACCTCATAAACATAATTAAAAACAAAAACTATATGATCATCTCAATAGATGCAGAAAAAGCTTTCTGTAAAATCCAACATCCCTTCATGATAAAAACTGTCAATAGGCATCAAAGGAACATACCTCAAAATATTAAGAGCCATCTATGACAAACCCACAGCCAACATCATATTGATGGGCAAAAGCTGGAACCATACCCCTTGAGAACCGAAACAAGACCAGGATGACCACTCCCGCCATTTTAATTCAACATGGTACTGGAAGTCCTAGCCAAAGCAATCAGGCAAGAGAAGGAAATAAAAGGCATTAAAATTGGAAAAGAAGTAGTGATACTGTCTCTCTTTGCTGATGAAATAATTTTATACATAGAAAACCCTAAAGACTCTGTCAGAAGGCTCCTGAAACTGATAAACAAATTCAATAAAGTTTCGGGATTAAAAAAATGTACACAAATTAGTAACATTTCTATGCACCACTAACATTCTAGCTGAGAACTAAATCAAGAACACAATTCCATTTACACTAGCCACAAAGAAAATAAAATACCTAGGAATCCATCTAACCAAGAAGGTGAAAATTCTCTACAAGGAGAACTACAAAACACTTCTGAAAGAAATAAGAAATGATACAAACAAATGGAAGAATATTCCATGCTCATGAATTAGGAGAACAAATAGTTAAAATCGCCATACTTCCAAAAACAAATTGCAGACTCAATGCTATCCATTTCAAAATGCAATGTCATTTTTCACGAAATTATAAAAATTTATTCTAAAATGTATTTGGCACCAAAAAAAGAGCCTGAATACACATAGGAATCCTAAGCACAAAGAACAAAGCCCAGGCATCACATTACCCAACTTCAAACTATACTACAATGCTATAGTAACCCAAACAGCATGATACTACTACAAAAACAGACACATAGACCAATGAGACAGAATAGAGAACCCAGAAATGAGGCTACATACCTACAATCATCTTTGAAAAAATTGACAAAAACAAGCAATGTGGAAAGTACCCTTTCTTCAATAAATAGTTCTGGGATAACTGACTACTCATATGCAAAATAATAGAACTGGACCCCTAACTCTCACTATATACAAAAATTAACCCAAGATAGTTTAAAGATTTAAATGTAAAACCTCAAAATATTAAAATTCTAGAAGAAAACCTAGGAAATATCCTTCTCAAGATAGACTTTGGCAAAGAATTTATGGCTAACTCCCCAAAACCAATTGTGACAAAGACAGAAATTGGGACCTAACTCAACTGAAGAGCTTCTGCACAGCAAACGAAAGTATCAACAGAGTAAACAGATAACCTACAGACTGGGAGAAAATATTTGCAAACTATGCATCTGACAAAGTTCTAATATCCAGAATCTATAAGGAATGTAAACAAATCAACAAGCAGAAAACCAAAAAACCTCAATTAAGTATGACATGAACAGACACTTCTCAAAAGAAGATGTACACATGGCCAAAAAACATATGAACAAATGCTTATTATCAGTAATCATCAGAGAAATGCAAATTAAAACCACAGTGAGATACCATCTCACAACAATCAGAGAAGCAGAAGCAATTACTAAAAAGTTTTTTGTTTTTTTTAATAACAGATGCTGACAAGATTGTGGAGAAAAGGGAACACTTATACACTCTTGGTGGGAATGTTAACTAGTTCAGCCAATGTGATAAGCAGTTTGGAGACTTCTCAAATAACTTAAAATAGAACTACTATTCAATCAAGCAATCCCACTACTGGGTATATACCAAAAGGAAGGTAATTAACTATGTCAAAAAGACACATGCACTAGTATATTCATTGCTGTGCAATTCAGAATAGCAAAGATTTGCAGTCAACCTAAGTGCTCACCAACAGTGGATTAGTTAAAGAAAATGTGCTACATATACACATGGAACATTACATGGCCATAAAAAATAATGAAATCATGTCCTTTGCAGCAACATGAATGTAGCAGGAGGTCAATCTCCTAAGTGAACTAACCCAGGAACAGAAAACCAAATACCACATGTTATCACTTATAACTGAGAACCAAACATTGAATACACATGAACATAAAGATGGAAACAACAGATACCGAGGACTACAGATGGGGGGAGGAGTAGGGAGGTATAGGCTGAAGAAACACCTGTTGGATTCTATGCTCATTGCCTGGGTGATGGCATTGTTGGAACCACAAACCTCAGAGTCACACAATATGCCTATGTAACAAACCTGCATGCATACCTTTAATCTACAGTAAAGGTTGAAGTTATTTAAAAATAGGAAGAAGAATTACCCTATACCTAAAGCTAAGATTTTTCCCTTTGAATATTCGTTTCTTCATCACTGTAGATAAGCAGGGAAAGAAAAATTATTATACTATACTAGCCTTTTATGTGACCATGAGGATTTGGGGTAGGTAGGTGGACAGCTTAGATAATTCACCAGGATATTGATACAGGCTCCATGGCTGGAAATAACCAAGGATGAGTGCTGTGTTTTGAGTGGTCTCCCCCAGAAACGTTTGTTGAAATCCTAACCCCTGGTATGTATGAATGTGAATTCATATTATATAAAAAGGAATAAATAGCCTGAGCACAGTGGCTCACACCTGTAATCCCAGCACTTTGGGAGGCCAAAGCAGGTGGATCATTTGAGGTCAGGAGTTCTGGCCAATATGGCAAAACTTCATCTCTACAAAAAAAAAATACAAAAAAAAAAATTGGCTGGGTATGGTGGCGCATG
Source organism: Homo sapiens (assembly GCF_000001405.40). NCBI lineage: Eukaryota > Metazoa > Chordata > Mammalia > Primates > Hominidae > Homo > Homo sapiens. The sequence goes on from NW_016107303.1 coordinate 23,200, forward strand.
CCTGTAGTCCCAGCTACTCAGGAGGCTGAGGCAGGAATTGCTGAAACCTGGAAGGCAGAGGTTGCAGTGAGCCAAGATCATGCCACTGCACTCCAGCCTGGGTGAGACGGCAAGATATTCTGTCAAAAATAAATAAATAAAAAACAGAAGAAGAAATACAAGAATGACAGCAAACTTTGTATTCAAAACTATGAAAGTAAGAAATAGGTGGACCAACATTTTTAAAGTGCTACAAGAAAATATTTCAAACTAGAATCTTTCAACCTGAAAAGGAAAACATTTTCCTGCAATAAAGGTGCCATTAAAAATGTCTCACAATTTATTACATGAAGCATTGTTCTACAATAAATGTTAAGCTCTTGAAGCAAAGATTAATGATACCATTTAGTAACTTGAAATTCAAAAAAGTGGAAGTATCCCAAGAGGCAAATACGTGTGCAATTATTAAATGTTTCATATCAACACCCAACCTTATGCTGTCTACATAAGCTGCACTTCAAATACTAATCCACAAGATGTAAATATTGAAAGAATGACATTACATTGTCATGATAATGCCCAGTGCAAAATATGCTTCTAGTCAGTTGTATACATAGAATAGGTAAATGTTTGTAATAAAAAGTATTCCTCAATAGAAGTTTCTTAACTCAAAGAATGAAATATTTCACCATGCACATACAAAGAAGAGATATATGGAGATATGAAGAGGAGTACTTCATAATGACAAAGAGGCAAATTCATAAATAAGACATAATAATCCTAAATGCCTACACACCTAAAGCTGGAACCTCAAAACACATTAAATTAAAGGCATAATTCAAAACATAATCAATCACATCCAAATTGCAGCTAGAGATAGCAACATTCACCTCACTTCCAGAACAAGTACACAGAAAATTATTAAGCATATGAAAGACTTGAAAAACATTTGTGTAGGCGGCGGGTGCATAAGGTTGGGTGTTGATATGAAACATTTAATAATTTCAATAATCCTAGCACTTTGGGAGGCCAAAATGGGAGGATCACTTGAGGCCAGGAGTTTGAGACCAGCCTGGGCACCATAGTGAGACCCCGTCTCTATTTTTTTTAAATAAAGAAAAACATTTGAATGATTTTTTTCTTAACTGACATTTAGAAAACATCCACCTCAAATCTTCCTAATCCACAAACTTGTCTAGCACCCCTGGAACATTCACCAAAATAAATTTTTAAATGCTGAATCATAGGTAATATGATAGATGAAACAGTTGAATTAAATTATAAATGTACAACAAGGAAATGCTGGGGAAATTATCAAATATTTTAAAATTAATAAACACACATAGCAATAAACAATGAGTGGAAGAAAAACATTTCAAAGAAAGGTGGAAAATATTTTGTATCAATTAAAAATGAAAACACATCTCGGCAAATGACTGGGGATACAGATAGAACAGTGTTAAAGGAAAATAAGCCTCAAATGTCTGTGTTAGAAAAGAAGGAAGAGCTGAGTAAATAGGTAACTTTCGCTTGCAGAAATACTACACATCAGCAAATTAATTCCAAAGTAACGTCGAGGAAAAACATAAAATGGCAAGCAAATATATACGTGCATATGTACGTATATTCATAAATGACAAACAGGACAGAAAAATCAGTGACATCAATTTTGTTCCTTAGAAGAAACAGGAAAATTGACCCCAAAAAACTTTCCAGGCCACATTTGGTCATGATGGAAATATTTTGGCACTTCCTGGTTAAGCTCAACACCAACTTGCACCCAAAACCAATAATTTCATTCCTAGGTAAATATGTCTAATTAATTCAGCATATGTATGCAAGGGATCACACAGAAACACGATTATCAAGGCCCGAGTTATAAAAGAGAAAATCCGGAAACAACACAAATGTCCATGATAAAAAGAGTGGATAATTACATGTTGATAAAGTTATGTATGGACTATTAAACTGCAATCCAAAAGAATAAAATAGAACTATAAAATTCAATATGTATATGGTGTCATAGAAACACAAATGTGAGAAAAAGAAAGAAAAATACAAAATTTATATTTTTTAAAATTTGAAACAACTATATATGTGAGTGCTTAGGGTGTGTGTGTGTGTGTGTGTGTATAACCATATGTATATAAACGCACACATACGCACACATATAGAATGTCCCGGCCAGGCATGGTGGCTCACACCTGTAATCTCAGCACTTTGGGAGGCTGAAGTAGACAGATCACTTGAGGTTAGGAGTTCAAGACCAGCCTGGCCAACATGGAGAAACCTCCTCTCTACTAAAAGTACAAAAATTAGGTGGGCGTGATGGTGGGTGCCTGTAAATCCAGCTACTTAGGAGGCTGAGGCACGAGAATTGCGTGAACCTGGGAGGTGGAGGCTGCAATGAGCCGAGGTCTCACCACTGCATTCCAAACTGGGTGACGAAGTGAGATTGCGTCTCAAAAAAAAAAAAAGTTCTAAAAGTTGTGACTTGGGTGTGGCAGATTGTGACATACTGCCAGCTGCTAGAAATGCTGGGGCAGGAGGATTGCTTGAACTCTGAAGTCAAAGAACAGCCTGGGGAAAATAGCACATGAAGAAGAGTTTGAATCTCAGATAAAAACAACAAAAATACATCAAAAGTCTTTAATGTAAGCCAAGCATTCAGTCATCTCCTGTATGAGAGATTGGATCTGAGACGTGTTTTGAGTTGGTTATAGTGAAGGATGCAAGGTGTCAATTCTAGTTGGAACAATTTCCAGGAAGCCATGTTCTGCTCTTGACCAAACAGCCACTGGGCCTCATGCAAGGTAGAAATAGCCTGCATACGTCATCCTCCCATGATGTGGTCAGCATGTAAACTGCATGAGCCCCTCACAACATCCTGTGTGCTGCTGAACTGAGCTGGGGCGCAGCCGCCTGTCTGCACCGGCAGCACCATGTCGCTCATGGTCGTCAGCATGGCGTGTGTTGGTGAGTCCTGGAAGGGAATCGAGGGAGGGAGCGGTGGGGTGGAGATCTGGGCCTGGAGTGGAGATATGGGCCTGGAGTGGAGATATGGGCCTGGAGTGGAGATATAGGCCTGGAGTGGAGATATGGGCCTGGGGTGGAGATATGGGCCTGGAGTGGAGATATGGGCCTGGAACTGTAGATATGGGCCTGAAGTAGAGATATGGGCCTGGAGTAGAGATATGGGCCTGGAACTGTAGATATGGGCCTGGAGTGGAGATATTGGCTTGGAGTGCAGATATGGACCTGGAATTGAGATACGGGCCTGGAGGTGGAGATATGGGCCTAGAGTGGAGATATGGGCCTGGAGGTGGAGATATGGGCCTGGAACTGTAGATATGGGCCTGGAGTAGAGATATGGGCCTGGAGTGGAGATGTTGGCTTGGAGTGCAGATATGGGCCTGGAATGGAGACACGGGCCTGGAGGTGGAGATACAGGCCTGGAGGTGGAGATATGGGCCTGGAGTGTAGATATGGGCCTGGAGTAGAGATATAGGACAGAGGTGGAGATATAGGCCTGGAGTGGAGATATGGGCCTGGAGTAGAGATATAGGACGGAGGTGGAGATATGGGCCTGGAGTGGAGATATGGGCCTGGAGGTGATGTACAGATGGATCATCCATCATGATCTTTCTTTCCAGGGTTCTTCTTGCTGGAGGGGCCCTGGCCACATGTGGGTGAGTCCTTCCCCCAAACCTTAGGTTGTCATCTCCCCACATAAGATGATGTTCCTGAAACGGGAGGCAGGCGACACAGGGGGTTGACTGATGGGCTGACCATGGGAAGCCATGTGGGAATCTCTCATGAACTAGGAAAAGGAAGCCAGGGGAAGCTTCGCCACAGTTCTGTCCTAGCCCTCCCCGGCCTTTCTTTCCCTTGGCTGAGTCTGTGGGGACCCAGGGGGAGACTGAAGTGCTCAAAGGAGTGGTGTGCAGGGAGGAAGTGGTGTCACCGGCAGAGGAAGGGAGAGAAGCAGTGCAAGGAACAACAGGCCTCTGAGGACAAGAGCATAACTCACACCCTCCAGCGTTTCCATGACGGTAGGGGCTGCAATGTGGCTGCTGTCATTCTACCTAAGAGGTGGGGGAACCACAGTCATGACCCTGACATTCCAGATCTTCTAATAGGGGCTCAGTTGTTTATTATGGTTCATGCATTAGCTGATCATGCCCTCCATCCTGTGTCTACCTTGTGTTCTTTTATGTAAGTAATTTTGCAGTGTTAAAATCTAGTAAGAGTCGCTTCTTCAGCACCTGCTCAAAGTTCTCAGCTGACACTTGCTGTAGGGAGACGCCATGTCTATGCGGGATGGGTCCTTCCTGTAGCCCTGGGCACCCAGGTGTGGTAGGAGCCTTAGAAACGTGGAAATGGGAGAATCTTCTGAGCACAGGGAGGGAGGGGCGGCTCCACATCCTCCTCTCTAAGGTAGTGCCTCCTTCTCCCCCAGGTGGTCAGGACAAGCCCTTCCTCTCTGCCTGGCCCGGCACTGTGGTGTCTGAAGGACAACATGTGACTCTTCAGTGTCGCTCTCGTCTTGGGTTTAAAGAATTCAGTCTGTCCAAAGAAGACGGGATGCCTGTCCCTGAGCTCTACAACAGAATATTCCGGAACAGCTTTCTCATGGGCCCTGTGACCCCAGCACATGCAGGGACCTACAGATGTTGCAGTTCACACCCACACTCCCCCACTGGGTGGTCGGCACCCAGCAACCCTGTGGTGATCATGGTCACAGGTCAGAGGCTTTCTGTCTGGGCTTCTCACTGTCCCACCTCCTGAATCCCAGAGCTTCTGGTGGGGGTGTCCATCAGGGTCCAATCATCCAGGCCCTGGCTGTATTTGGGGTAAAGGGGGATTCAGTACAGAGAAATAGTTGCTGTGGTGGGAAGAATAATTGTCCCCAGTGATGGCTACATGGTAATCCATGAACCCTGTGACTATTTATGTCATAGGGCAGGGGACTGAAGGGGAAGATGGAGCTCAGGTTGTTGATGAGTTGACCTTGCGATGGGGAGACAGCCTGGACTGTCCTGCTGTGCTCAGAGTAATCACAAGGGTCCTCATGAGAGGAGGAGGAAGAGGAAAGTGGGGTTAGAGCAACGTCGTGGGAGGGAGACTCCATCAGCCACAGCGGGCTTTGAAGATGGGGGAAGGCCATGAGCCACAAAGGCAGTTGGCCTCTAAGGGCTGGAGAAGTCAAGGGAACTGATTCTTCCCTGAGTCTCCAGAGGAAACACAGCCCTGTAGATGCCTTGATTTTAGCCCAGAGAGAACTGGGTCCGATTTCTGTTCTCCAGAAGTGGAAGGGGTCATTGTATTCTCTCCTGCCCCATGTTTGTGACAATTTTCTCCAGCAGCAACAGGAAACCAACACAGGAACCCAGGTGAAGCACAAGTTAAGAAACCAAACAAGGAGAAGGTTGGCTACACTGATTTTAGCATGGGTGGGATACTGATGCTACCACCAGGCTCGATCCACATAGGGAGGGGTTGATGCTCCTGGAACCAGCACCAGGGGCCACCCTATGGAAGCTGGGGCCATGGAGAAGGCACAGACATGACAGGAGAGGCTCCCAATCCCCATCAGGAACAGGGACACTGATGCCTGCCTTACTGATGAGTTCGTACCTCCTGCCAGCCTTTCCAATCTGTCCAAAAGAGATTGATTCAGGCTGCTAAGAGCCTGGACATGCAGCCTGTCGTGGTTCCTCTTCCACCCCTACATAAACACAGGAAAGAGATTAGTGGGAAACAGATACAACAGCCTAAGAGGTGACACTGAGCACAGTGGGAAGGGAATCAGGGCTACTAGAGACAGAGAGACAGGGAAGAGGGAGGGAGACAGATGGAGGGACCTGCAACAGGGGTTATGGGCACAAAAGAACACGGAGACACAGAGAGGAAGGAGAGAGATAGACACCATGGAGGGGAAGCCTCACTTATTTCAGGTCCCATGAATGGGATGAGAAAGGGAGACGCCTTCTGAACTCACAACCTCTCTTCTTAGGAGTCCACAGAAAACCTTCCCTCCTGGCCCACCCAGGTCCCCTGGTGAAATCGGGAGAGACGGTCATCCTGCAATGTTGGTCAGATGTCAGTTTTGAGCGCTTCCTTCTGCACAGAGAGGGGATCACTGAGGACCCCTTGCGCCTCGTTGGACAGCTCCACGATGCGGGTTCCCAGGTCAACTATTCCATGGGTCCCATGACACCTGCCCTTGCAGGGACCTACAGATGCTTTGGTTCTGTCACTCACTTACCCTATGAGTTGTCAGCTCCCAGTGACCCTCTGGACATCGTGGTCGTAGGTGAGAGAATACAGACCTGCCTCTCACCCTTGCTGGGAGATGGAGTGAATGATCTAGGACTGGAAGCCCCAGGTGGTCATGAGGAAGATGAGTGTGGGGTTCCTATGGAGAGAAAGTGACTTGGTGAGGTCTGTACCAACAAAGGCAGAGAAACAGGAGACACAAGTACAGACCTCATGTCATAACATAGAAGCCAGACACAGGGGCCATACAAGGTGTTAGAAAAAGAGATAAAGAGGTAAAGAAGACACAGAGAGACAGATATATCCCAGAGAGAGGTGTCCTTCTATGCTGACTTTGTTCAGAGACCAGGCACAGGTTAGAAGGTTCCATTCTGTTTTACCTCTACAAAGTGTTCTCTCCCAGGAGAACCCAAAGAGACACATCTATCTGGCCTGAGTTGGGCCGTGTGGCCCCAGGCTGGTGGCACCTACAGATGCTGTGTTTATTCTTAAACCTCTGCCTTCCGTGCAGTGGAGCTGTCATCGTCCCAGGACACCATGGCCCCAGGTGAGGGAGCAGAACACCAACCCCTGTATGTTGTGAGTTCCTGGAGTCCCCATACTGGATTCTGAGGCTCATATTCAAATAGCACCACATGTTATAGGATTACTGAGAACAAAAGCCCACAGAGAGACACGGAGTGAAATCAGGGAAATCAAAAAGCAAAGACATGAACACACACACAGAATGAGCCAGAAGAAGGGAATTGAGAGACTCACAGACACATAAAGAGACAGAAAAAGAGGGCAGAGAAGTGGAGCGTATGATGGAAGGAAGCAGAGAAAAGCCCTAAAATCAGAGCCCTGAGGGAGGGGCACAAAGACAGGGAAAGATAAAGATGTGGGGATGGATTGCAGAGACTCCAAAAGGGAACTAGAGAGACTGAGAGGCAGAGAAAGACAAGGAGATGGAGAGAGACAGATGATAGATGGATAGATAGATATAGATAGATGAAAGATAAAAGGTATATGATAGATAATAGAGAGACAGGTGATAGACAAATAGATGATGAATGACTGATAGATGATATAGATAGACAAGTAGAAAGACAGACAGATGATATATAAATAGATATAGAGAGATAGAAAGACAGATAAACACATGATGATAGATGGATAGATGCATACATACATACATTGATTGATAGATGATAGATAACAGAGAGATAGGTCATAGATACACAGATGATGATAGATGATAGATACATACATAGATAAATGATAGATCGATCAATAGATAGTAGATAGAAATATGCAGAAAGTTATGAGCAAGACAGAAAGTGAGAGACTCAGAATTAAAGAAAGAGGAAGATCAAGTCAACCAGTCCAAGGAGGGTCAGAGAGAATAAAATGGTACAAAAAAAGAAAACATAGCTAGGGATGGAGAAGTGAGGTCAGAGACCTAGAGAGACAGAGAAGGTGGAAGGAGGAAATAGACATGAAGAGAGATGGGGGTGGAGGGTGAGAGAGAGAAAGAGAGCATTAAGTCATAGAGCAGGGGAGTGAGTTCTCAGCTCAGGTGTGAGGAGAGCTGTGACAAGGAAGAACCTCCCTGAGGAAACCACCTCTTCTTCTTCCAGGTCTATATGGGAAACCTTCTCTCTCAGCCCAGCCGGGCCCCACGGTTCAGGCAGGAGAGAATGTGACCTTGTCCTGCAGCTCCCGGAGCTTGTTTGACATTTACCATCTATCCAGGGAGGCAGAGGCCGGTGAACTTAGGCTCACTGCGGTGCTGAGGGTCAATGGAACATTCCAGGCCAACTTCCCTCTGGGCCCTGTGACCCACGGAGGGACCTACAGATGCTTCGGCTCTTTCCGTGCCCTGCCCCACGCGTGGTCAGACCCGAGTGACCCACTGCCCGTTTCTGTCACAGGTGAGAAAACACCATGCCTGTCCCATGTCTTGTGATCCTAGAGCCATAGCTGAGGAGCTTCCTGCTGATGATGGAGAGAAGCATGGACAGATGCCGAGACAGAACACACAGCATGGGTGTAAGGGCGGGGTCAGGGCGCAGGATGGCAGACAGGGCACCTCCAAACCCTCCTGTATGGCCTGCAAGGAGGCCCTTGATCAGGGTTCCAGGCACCCAGGCAGATGGAGAAAGAGGTCAGAACAGACCCAGAGGAGGGAGACTGGGCTCTGCCTGGGGAGATCAGAGGTTCTCTCAGCCCCTCAACCTTACCCACTTCCCAGAAGCCCATCCTGGCCTGTCACCCACAGAGAGATGTCATCACCAGCAACGCCTACACCCTTTTCTTTTTGTTTGAAGAAATATTTATTGAGGTGAAATATACCTATGTAATTTACCACCTTTACCATTTTTAAGTGTGAAGTCTACTGTTCATAAATACATTTATAGGCTGGGCACGGTGGCTCACGGTTGTAATCCCAACACTTTGAGAGGCCAAGGCAGGTGGATCATTTGAGATCAGGGGCTCAAGACCACCCTGGCCAACATGGGGAAAATCCATCTGTACTAAAAATACAAAATAATAATAATAATGATAATAATTAGCCGAGCATGGTGGCACATGCCTGTAGTCCCAGCTACTTGGGAGGGTTGGGCAGGAGTTGCACTTAATTGCAGGAGGCGGAGGTTGCAGTGAGCTGAGATCATGCCACTGCACTGCAGCCTGGGCAACAGAGAGAGACACTCTCTCAAAATTAATTAATTAATTAATTAGTATTCTTTTTTTTTTACCCTCCACCCTTCCCTTCCTGGCCTCTGGTAGCCACCATTCTACTCTCTACCTTTGTGAGATCCACCTTTTAGCTCCTGCATATGAGTGAGAAATGGAAATACTTGTAATGACCTCCAGTTCCATTCATGTGGCTGTAAATGACAGGATGTTACTCTTTCTATGGATGAGTTGTCCCTATTGTGTGTGTGTACCACATTCTCTCCATCCATTCACCCACTGATGGGCGGGTAGGTTGATCCACATCTTGGCTACTGTGAACACTGCTGGAACAGTCATGGGAGTGCAGATGTCACTTCGATACGCTGATGTCCTTTCCTTTGGGTTTACACCCAGTCATGGAATTGCTAGATCCTCTGGAAGTGTCTTTTTACATTTTGTTTTATGGTTTTTGTTTTTGTTTTTGTTTTTTTTAGACAGTTTCACTCTTGTTGCCCAGGCTGGAGTGCAGTGGTGCCATCTGGGCTCACTGCAACCTCCACCTCCAGGATTCAAGAGATTCCCCAGCCTCAGCCTCCCAAGTAGCTGGGTTACTGGCTCCCACCACCACACTCGGCTAATTTTTATATTTTTAGTAGAGACAGAGTTTCGCTATATTGGCCAGGCTGCTCTTCAACTCCTGACCTCAAGTGACCTACCCACCTCGGCCTCCCAATGTGCTGGGATTACAGGCATGAACCACTGTGCCCGACCTCATTTTATTTTTTGAGGAACTTCCATACTCTTCTCCTCTGTAATGGCTGTACTAATTTACATTCGTATCAGCAGTGTACCAGATGCAACCCTGGTTGACTCAGCAGAGCAAGAGACGTGCAGTAAGAGAGAATTTAGCTTATTTATGCACACGACACTTCCACTCACTCACTCGTTCAGCCAATGCCCCATGCTCTGGCTGTGCAGTGTGGAATCTTTTCCTATTGTTGCCATAACAAATTTCCACAAGCTTCGTGGATGAAAACATGTTTTTCTTAATTATCTCACAGTGCTGTAACTCAGAAGTATGAACTGCATTTCACTGGGCTGATATCAAAGGGAGAGTAAGGCTGGATTTCTTTTTAAGGTTCCAAGCAAGAATCTGCTCCTTAACGTTTCCCAGCTCCTAGAGGCTCCCACGTTCCTGGGCCCCTGGTCCCCTTCCTCCTTCCTCCTTCCTCAAAGCCCACAAAGGCTGGTCACGTCTCACATGGCATCATTCAGACTCTTCTTCTTTACCCATACCTTTTTCTCTGAATCCTGCTCTGCCTTCTTCCTCATCTTTTAAGGACTTTGGGATTCTATTGGGGTCACCAAGATAATCCATCTCAATCTCCCTAAAATCATCCAGCGTACCCTCTTTTTAAGTTCAGCTGATTAGCAACCGTAATGCCATCTGCAATCTTCATTCCTCCTTTCCTGTAAAATAACATATTCACAAGCTATGGAGGCTAAGACAGGGACATTTTGGGGGTGGGGCAGCATTCTCCTGCCTTCCACAAATGGTAAACAGGATGCATTTGGCCTCTGCTCTTGGGACGCTGATATTGCAGATGGGTAAATGCGAGGGCAGAGAATGAATGCACAAGGGTACCAATAAATGAATGATCCATTGGGAAGCATCTGTGCACCAAATCTGGGGTTTTTTGTGTGTGTGTGTTTTTTTTGTTTTCTTTTTTTTTTTTGAGTAGAGTCTCTCTCTGTTCCACAGGCTGGAGTGCAGTAGCACAATCTCAGCTCATTGCAACCTCTGCCTCCTGGGTTCATGCAATTCTCCTGCCTCAGCCTACCGAGTAGCTGGGATTACAGCTGTGCGCCACCACACTCGGCTAATTTTTTTGGTATATTTTTTAGTAGAAATGAGGTTTCACCATGTTGTGCAGGCTGTCTCAAACTCCCAATCTCAAGTGATCCCACCGCCTTAGCGTCCCTAAGTGCAAAGATTACAGGCGAGAGCTACTGCGCCCAGCCAGGATTTAAAATAAGTAATAGATAATGCTGAGTATATAATTTCAGGTGACAGAGAAGGTCTCACTGATCAGATAATATTTGTGACCTTAATGGAAAAAATGGATTCAACCCTTGGAAGATTGGCGGAAGGATTTTCCACACTGAGCTCTCAGCCGTGAAGGCACAAAGGTGGAAACATTCTTAGTTCAAGGAAGAGGCTCTGCCTCAAATGCTGGGAATGAGATGGGGAGAATGACAAGACAACTGTAGAGAGATGGAGAGCACACTGGGTACACAGGAAACTAAGGAGGAACAAGGAGCATGTTTTTGATACTCACAGCCCTTGGATTCAACTCAGAGCTAACTAGGAATCCCTACCTGATTAACAGTGACCGACATGAAAATAAGGGAGGCCCAGGTGCGTAACTGGAATCTAGGAGACCGTGGAAAAGGCAATTCCCGCCCCACTGGTGAAACGTAGGGTTGATTTACACACTAAATGAATGAAAGATGGATATAAGCTATGCTTGTGAGGTAGAATCATTTGCAGGGAGGGCTTGCTGGGTTTGATTTTTCCTAGTAGTTTAATCCTTGTTTCATTAATTTCTTTCTGAGATGTGTTTTTTTTCTACATCTAAATCCATACCTGGCAGAGGAGCGATAGACACATGAGGGGTGGTGCAAATGAAGGGACCTAGTATAATATAATATACAAGACTGTGGATGGGGGCTCACACCTGTAACCCAACACTTTGGGAGGCCAAGGCGGGTAGATCACTTAAGGGTAGGAGTTTGAGACCAGCCTGGCCAACATGGTGAAACCCCGTCTGTACTAAAAATACAAAAATTAGCCTGGTGCATTGGCACCTGCCTGTAATCCCAGCGACTGGGGAGGCTGAAGCAGAAGAATGGCTTCAACCCTGGAGGCAGAGGTTGAACTGAGATCGCATCACTGCACTCCAGCCTGACACAGGGGGACTCTGTCTCAAAAAATAAAAATAAAACATACATAATTATAATATGACACACAGAAATTACAAAGGCAACTGGATACCAACCATCATTTTTCTATTTCTCTGTGTTTAATTCTTTGACCCTTTATCTTATCCATTAAACAATCAGGTTAAACCTCTTCCTTATTTGGCTTTCTGTGAGCTTGGGATCATATGGAAAATGTGAAAGCCTCCTGAACCCACCAGCACAGGTCCTGGAATAGAGAACGTGCTCTGTTCATGGCATAAAACTTGCCCCTTCACCCAAATCCCCCAATTCATCTCTACTTCCAATCACCTATGGAGATACAGATAGATCATGGGGAGGTAAACACTAATACTCTTTGGAGTGAGCTCAGATCTTGGACTCAGAGACCAGTGCCAGCACTAGCCCCTGGTCACATTTCGTACTAACTCACAGAAGGACAGGCTGTATTGAAACAATAAACGACGGAGAGGGCGGTCCTTCCCCGTGCTTCTCGGGTGGAATAGCAGCCTAATATATGTCTCAGCAGATCACAAAAAGTAGCATGTTGTTCCTGGGCTACATCATTATTTCATGGCTGTTTGATTTAAGTCAGTTCTACTTCACTTTTTTTATCTTGATTTCATTTTTTCTTTCTTTTCTTGGAGAATGTAATTTTTTTTGAGTCAAGAGGGTTGTGGTGGTAGAAACTGTAAAGCACATTCGCTGTGTATCAATCCCAATCCAGTCTTCCCAGAGAAGATTCTAAACACCTCCTGGAATGCACCTGGGCCTATACCAATTCCTATCACTCACCGTCACTCCAGGGAGACAGAACACACAGAGAACACATTACACAGGCAGGTTCATTACTAACAGATAAGCAGCGAGTGACAACAGAAACCTACATTTCAATGTGAGCCAGTCCCTCAAGGCTCAGAAAAGCTGCTCGAGACATGTGGAGTCACCCCATATGCAGTGTATCTGGGGGAAATCAAAAAGCAGCCCAGCCTGGGTTTTGTACCCTGGAGCCACAGGAAGCACTCAGCTAAAGCACTGCATGACGTCCTCCTCCAGGAAGAACAGGAAGACAGCCCAGGCTGTTCTGGGATGTTCCTCCTGATCTCAGGACGTTGCTGTCTTAGTCCATTTTTGTTGCTCTAAAGGAACACTTGAGCCTGGGTAACTTCTAAAGAAAAGAAATGTGTTTGCCTCACAGTTCTGCAGGCTGTACTGGAAGCATGGCACCAGCATCTATTTCTTGTGACGGCCTCAGGCTGCTCCCACTCTGGCAGAAGGGAAGGAGGGTCTGTCTGTGCAGAGACCACAGAGATCACACGGCAAGAGAGGGACCAAGGGGGAGGGGGAGCGATGGAGCTTCCAAGCTCTTTTAACAACCAGTTCTCCAGGAACTAATAGAGGGGGAACTTGCTAACCCCGTCTCCTTGGAACAGCATTGATCTGTTCATGATGGATCCACCTCCATGACCCAAACAACTCCCAAGAGGCCCAACCTCCCACCCTGGGGGTTACATTTCAATGTGAGGTTTGAAGGGGTCAAACATCTAAACTAAAGCAGTTGTATCCTCAGCACGTTCTATGGTTACTACAACTGAGAAAGCAGGAGGAAGCTAGGTCTCCCGCCATCTGGGTGCTTGTCCTAAAGAGACGTTGTATGTGGTTACCTGTCAATCAAGAAATGTGAGACAATTCATATAGAGGAACTGCTATGATTAGCTTCTTATTGGTGTCTTGTCTTCCTCCAGGTAACTCCAGACACCTGCACGTTCTGATTGGGACCTCAGTGGTCATCATCCCCTTTGCTATCCTCCTCTTCTTTCTCCTTCATCGCTGGTGTGCCAACAAAAAGAGTAAGTCTCACGAAGCAGAAGCCAGAGAGCTCAGGGCCATGTGGGGAAGCAGGATGGGAGCACTCAGGTGTGTGTTCCTCACAGGCAGGATGGTCCCTGGCCCAAGGCAGGAGCCACAGAGGCAGGACTTTCTAGAGAGAGCACCAGACTCCCTGCCTCTGCCTTCAGCTCACAGACCATTGCCTGATTCTGAACCGTATCCTCACATCCCCTGCAGCCACTCACATCCAGGAGAAGGTTCCATGACAGGCAGAAAGTGGGACACAGAATCAATAGGATGGGAACTCAGAGCTATACATGGGATGGATCCTTGAGCTCAGAGAGATAGAATGTCTGAGTCTGCTGTTGGCAACTGAGGGACCTCAGGCACCTATGGCCTCCCCCTGTATGTTGGTATCTGCTTATGAAATGAGGACCCAGAAGTGCCCTCCGAGCTGTTTTGACGACTTCCGTCTTCTACAGATGCTGTTGTAATGGACCAAGAGCCTGCAGGGAACAGAACAGTGAACAGGGAGGTAGGTGCTCCTCCGCCCAGCCTCGTGGCTAGTCTTATTCCCAAAGAGTCCTGGAAAATGTGAGCACCCTCCCTCACTCAGCATTTCCCTCCCTCCAGGACTCTGATGAACAAGACCCTCAGGAGGTGACATACGCACAGTTGAATCACTGCGTTTTCACACAGAGAAAAATCACTCGCCCTTCTCAGAGGCCCAAGACACCCCCAACAGATACCAGCGTGTAACACGGAACTTCCAAATGCTGAGCGCAGATCCAAAGTTGTCTTCTGTCCACTAGCACCACAGTCAGGCCTTGATGGGATCTTCTAGGGAGACAATAGCCCTGTCTCAAAACCGGGTTGCCAGCTCCCATGTACCAGCAGCTGGACTCTGAAGGCGTGAGTCTGCATCTTAGGGCATCGCTCTTCCTCACACCACGAATCTGAACATGCCTCTCTCTTGCTTACAAATGTCTAAGGTCCCCACTGCCTGCTGGAGAGAAAACACACTTGCTTAGCCCACAATTCTCCATTTCACTTGACCCCTGCCCACCTCTCCAACCTAACTGGCTTACTTCCTAGTCTACTTGAGGCTGCGATCACACTGAGGAACTCACAATTCCAAACATATAAGAGGCTCCCTCTTAACACGGCACTTAGATACGTGCTATTCCACCTTTCCTCAGAGTATCTTTCAGCCTTCTGTCAGCAGTAAAACTTATAAATTTTTTTTATAATTTCAATGTAGTTTTCTCTTCTTCAAGTAAACATGTCTGCCCTCATGGTTTCGTCAATGGGACTCTTTTCTTGCCTAAGGCTTCCGGTGTTATCATTACCACGTCCACATAACCCCATCTGTTCTCCGCTGGGTTCTCACCCCTGGACTCTGAGCTTCTGGAAGCAGGGTGGAGCCTGAATTGTCTCTGAGACTCCAATTTCCATCCAAAGATGCAGCACATAGGAGGTTCCAAGGATGGTGAATCAGATGAACAAGTGATATTCTTACTCTCTGCAGATCTGGAAAGCTGGCAGAGTCATTCCACGATGAAACATTTGTAGAGTCATAGGCCTTGTTAGTCTCATCTCCACAGGGACACGTATCAACACATCATCTTTCATACTACTATAAATAGACAGTCACTCCTCCATATCTCTGGGGTTTACACATGTTTATTGAATCAGCAATAAATCAAAAATATTTTGAGAAAAAAAATCCCCGAAGTTTCAAAAAGCAAAAAACTATGTTGAATCGACACAAATTGAGTGGCGTGTAGGCTGTGTCAGGAATTATAAGTAATCAAGAGATGATTTCATGTATACAGGAGGATGTGCATGGGTTCTATGCAATTGCTATGCTATTTTTTTTTTTTTTGAGACAGTCTCACTCTCTCACCCAGGCTGGAGTGCAGTGGCGTGATCTCAACTCACTGCAACCTCCGCCTTCCAGGTTCAAGCGATTCTCTTCCCTCAGCCTCCCCAGTAGCCTCCCCTAGGATTACAGGCACGTGCCACCCTGCACAGATAAATTTTTTTGTGTGTATATTTTTAGTAGAGATGGGGTTTCAGAATGTTGGACCAGCTGGTCTTGAACTCCTGACCTTGTGATCTACCCAGCTCAGCCTCCCAAAGTGCTGGGATTACAGGCGTGAGCCACGGTGCCCAGCTTCACTATGCCATTTCATGCAAGGGGCTTGAGCATCTGCAGATTTTGGTATCTGAATGGGGATCCTGGAACCAATCACCCAGGTATAGTGAAGGACCATGGTATATAATTTTTATTTGTCAATCTTAAAAATAAAGCATAAAAAATTTACAACAACAAGATAAAAAATAAGAAGTGTTTTTATAGTGTGAGGATAAGTTTAGATTTATTTTTTCCTACGTGTAACCCTATGGTCCTGTGTTATTTGTTGAGAAAATATTCTATTCCACCTTAAACTACATGGCAGCCTTTGTCAACTATAAAGGGACTGTGTATCCACAGATGTATTTTAGACACAGTTTTCTGTCCAGTGGTTCTCTGTATCCCCTCTCATGAGGATGCTGCATTTTATATAAACTTATAGAACCCCTTAAAATTTGGTAACCTGAGTCCTCTGATTTGTTATTATAGGTTATTTAGTTTGCTTTTTTTTTTTTTCTTGAGACAGACTCTTCCTCTGTCACCCAAGCTGGAGTTCAGTGGCTTGAGCTCAGCTCACTGCAACCTCCGTCTCCCAGGTTCAAGCTATTCTGATGCCTCTGGTTTAGTACTAGAAACTCAAGCAGGAAAATTAGAATGGCTTCTTGTCACAATTACTCTGATAATGTTAATAATACCTGTTAGACATTTTGCACATTACATATGAAGAAGAGTTTGAATCTCAGATAAAAACAAAAATACATCAAAAATCTTTAATGTAAGCACAGAATTCAATCATCTCGTGTATGAGAGGTTGGATCTGAGACGTCTTTTGAGTCTGGTCGTAGTGAAGGACGCAAGGTGTCAATTCTAGTGAGAACAATTTCCAGGAAGCCATGTTCCGCTCTTGAGCGAGCACCCACTGGGCCTCATGCAAGGTAGAAAGAGCCTGCGTACGTCACCCTCCCATGATGTGGTCAACATGTAAACTGCATGGGCAGGGCGCCAAATAACATCCTGTGCGCTGCTGAGCTGAGCTGGGGCGCGGCCGCCTGTCTGCACAGACAGCACCATGTCGCTCATGGTCGTCAGCATGGTGTGTGTTGGTGAGTCCTGGAAGGGCATCGAGGGAGGGAGTGCGGGGATGGAGATCGGGGCCCAGAGTTGGAGATATAGGCCTGGAAGTGGAGTTATGGGCCTAGAGATGGAGTGATGGGCCTAGAAGTGGAGATCTGGGCCTGGAGTGGAGATCTGGGCCTGGAGTGGAGATATGGGCCTGGAGGTTGAGATATGGGCCTGCAGTAGAGATATGGGCTTGTAGTGGAGACATGGGCCTGGAGATGGAGATATGGGCCTGGAGATGGAGATATGGGCCTGCAGTAGAGATAGGGGCCTGGAGTGGAGATATGGGCCTGGAGTGGAGATATGGGCCTGGAGGTGGAGATATGGGCCTGGAGGTGGAGATATGGGCCTGGAGTGGAGATATGGGTCTGGAGGTGGAGATACGGGCCTGCAGTAGAGATATGGGCCTGGAGTGGAGATATGGGCCAGGAGTGGAGTTATGGGCCTAGAGATGGATATCTGGGCCTGGAGTGGAGATATGGGCCTAGGAAGGAGATATGGGCCTGGGTGTGGAGATATGGGACTGGAGAGGTGATATGGGCCTGGAGTGGAGATATGGGCTTAGGGTGGAGATCTGGGCCTGGGGCGGAGATATGGGACTGGATTGGAGATAGGGGCCTAGGGTGGAGATCTGAGCCTGGATTGGCGATATGGGCCTAGGGTGGAAATATCAGCCTGGAGTGGAGATATGGGCTTGGGGTGGGGATATGGGCCTGGAAACTGGGTCTCTGCACAGCCGACAGCCCTGTTCTTGGGTGCAGGTAGGCACTGAGGGTGAGTTTAACTTCAGCCCAGGAAGGGCCTGGCTGCCAAGACTCACAGCCCAGTGGGGGCAGCAAGGGAGGCCTGGTTTGCCTGCAGATGGATGGTCCATCATGATCTTTCTTTCCAGGGTTCTTCTTGCTGCAGGGGGCCTGGCCACATGAGGGTGAGTCCTTCTCCAAACCTTCGGGTGTCATCTCCCCACATAAGAGGATTTTCCTGAAACAGGAGGGAAGTCCTGTCGGGGAGTCTCTCATAAACTAGGAAGAGAGGACCCTGGGGTGCTCAGCCCACATTTCTGACCTCGCCTCCCTGGCCTCTCAACCCCTTGGCAGAGTCAAGTTCTGTGGGGACCAGGGTTAGACTGGGGTGCTCAAAGCTGGGGTGTGTGGTTGGGAAGTGGTAGGAACAGCAGATCCTCTGAGGACAAAGGTGTTACTCACACACTTCAGCGTTTCCATGATGGTAGGGGCTGCAGTGTGGCTGCTGTCATTCTACCAGAAGAGGTGGGAAACCACAGCCATGGCCCTGACATTCCAAATCCTCTGATGGGGGCTCAGTTGTTTATTTTCGTTCAGGCATCCGCTGATATCCATTCACAAAGGACATGCCCTCCACCTCATGTCTACCCTGTGTTGTTTTATGTGAGTAATCTTACAGTATTAAAATCTAGTAGGAGTCTCTTTACTCAGCACTTGCTCAAAGTTCTCAGCTGAGGCTTTTGTTGTAGGGAGACACCATGTCTTTGCGGGATGGGTCCTTCCTTCAGCCCTGGGCACCAAGGTGTGATAGTAGCCATAGAAACGTGGAAAGCGAGGAGAATCTTCTGAGCACAGGGAGGGAAGGGCAGTTCCACATCCTCCTCTCTAAGGCGGCGCCTCCTTCTCCCCAAGGTGGTCAGGACAAGCCCTTGCTGTCTGCCTGGCCCAGCCTTGTGGTGCCTCTAGGACATGTCATTCTTCGGTGTCACTCTTATCTTGGGTTTAACAACTTCAGTCTGTAAAAGGAAGGTGGGGTGCCTGTCCCTGAGCTCTACAACAGAATATTCTGGAACAGCCTTTTCATGGGCCCTGTGACCCCCGCACACACAGGGACATACAGATGTCGGGGTTCACACACACACTCCCCCAGTGGGTGGTCAGCACCCAGCAACCCCCTGGTGATCGTGGTCATAGGTCAGAGGGCTCCTGTCTTGGATTCTCCTTGTCCCACCTCCTGAATCCCAGAGCTTCTGTTGGGCATGTCCTTGAGGGTCCCATCACGCAGGCCCTGACTGTATTTGTGGTAAAGGGGGATTGAATACAGGGAAATGGGTGCTGTGGTGGGAAGAATAATTGTCCCCAGTGATGACTACATTCTAATCCCTGGAGTCTGTGACTATTTATGTTATAGGGGAAGGGACTGAAGGGGAAGATGGAGCTCATGGGGAGACAGCCTGGACTGTCCCACTGGGCTCAGTGTAATCACAAGGGTGCACATGAAAGGAGGAGGAAGAGGGGAGTGGGGATTAGAGCAGTCCAGTGGAAGTCTTCACCAGCTTTGAAGGTGGAGGAAGGCCAAGATCCATGAATGCAGGTGGCCTATAGAGGCTGGAAAAGTCAAGGAACTGATTCTCCAGAGTCTCCAGAGGGAACAAAGCCCTGCAGATGCCTTGATTTTAGCCCAGGAAAAATAGGGTCCAATTTCTGTCTCCAGTACTGGAAGGTGTCAGTGTGGTCTCTCCTGCTGCCATGCTTCTGATAATTTTCTACAGCAGCAACAGGAAACCAACACTGGAACCCAGGTCAAGGACAAGTTAAGAAACAACCCAAGGAAAGCCAGGCATGGTGGCAGGTGCATGTAATCCTAGCGACTCAGGAGGCTGAGGGCAGGAGAATCACTTGAACCCAGGAGACAGAGGTTGCAGTGAGCCTAGACCACACCACTTCACTCCAGCCTGGGTGAAGGAGTGAGACTCTGTCTCCATAATTAATTAATTAATTAAAGAAACCAAACAAGGAGAAGGTTGGCTACCCTGAGATCAGCAAGGGTGGGATGATGATGCCACCACCAGGCTCCATCCACATAGGGAGGGGTTGATACTCCTCCAACCAGCACCAGGAGCCAGCCTATGGAAGCTGGCACCATGGAGAAGGCACAGGCATGGCAAGAGTGGCTCCCAGTCCCCACCAGGAACAGGGTGTGTGGACACTGGTGCCTGCCTTATTCATCAGTTCATACCTTCTGCCAAGGATTGCAATTCATCCAAAAGAGATTGAACCAGGCTGATAAGAGCCTGGATGTGCAGCCTATCCTGGTTCCTCTTTCACCCCCACATAAACAGCAGGAAATACATTAGTGTGAAATAGATACAACACCCCAAGAGATGAGGCTCAGCCCAGTGGGAAGGGAATCAGAGGCTACTAGAGACAGAGGGACAGAGAAGAGGGAGGGAGACAGATGGAAGGACCTGCACCAGGAGTTAAGGGCACAGAAAAGAACATGAAGACACAGAGAGGAAGGAGAGAGACAGACACCAGCAAGGGGAAGCCTCACTCATTCTAGGTGCCATGGATGGGATGATAAAGAGAGACACCTTCTAAACTCACAACCTCTCTTCCTAGGAGTCCACAGAAAACCTTCCCTCCTGGCCCACCCAGGTCCCCTGGTGAAATCAGAAGAGACAGTCATCCTGCAATGTTGGTCAGATGTCAGGTTTCAGCACTTCCTTCTGCACAGAGAAGGGAAGTTTAAGGACACTTTGCACCTCATTGGAGAGCACCATGATGGGGTCTCCAAGGCCAACTTCTCCATCGGTCCCATGATGCAAGACCTTGCAGGGACCTACAGATGCTACGGTTCTGTTACTCACTCCCCCTATCAGTTGTCAGCTCCCAGTGACCCTCTGGACATCGTCATCACAGGTGAGAGTGTCCGGACATTCTCATTGTCATTGGGATGCAGAGTGAATGATCCACGACTTGGAACCCCCAGGTAGTTGTAAGGAAGATGAGCTTGGTATTCTTATGGAGAGAGACTGACTTGCTGAGGTTTGTACCAACAGAGACAGAGAAACAGGAGACACAAGTACAGACCAGGTGTCATAACAGAGGACAGACACAGGGGCCATACAGGGAGTTAGAAAAGACAGAAAGAGTTAAAAGAGACAGACAGACAGACATGTCCCAGAGAGAGGTGTCCCTCCATGCTGACTTTGCTCACAGACCTGGCACAGGTTAGAAGTTTCATTTCTGTTTTACCTCCACAAAGTGTTCTCTACCAGGAGAACCCAAGGACACCCATATTTATGACCTGAGTTGGGCCCTGTGGCCTCAGGCCTTGTGGCACCTACAGGCCATGTTTATTCTGACACCTCTGCCTTCCATGTAATGGAGAGTAATCGTCCCAGGATATCATGGCCCCAGAACACCAACCCCTGTATGCTGTGTGAACTTGTGGTCTCCAGACTGGATTCTGTGGCTCACATTCCAAATAACCCCACATATGAAAGGATCACTGAGAGGCACAGAGAAAAATCAGGAACACCAAAAAGCAAAGACATAAACACACAGAGAATGAGCCAGAGGAAGGAGATTGAGAGACTCACAGACACATAAAGAGAGAGAAAAGAGGGCAGAGGAGTGGTGAGAATGATGGCAGGGAGCAGAGAAAAGCACTAAAATTAGAGTCCTGAGAGAGAGGCACAAGGACATAGAAACATGGAGATGTGGGGATGAATTGCAGAGATTCCAAAGAGAACTAGAGAGACCGAGAGGCAGAGCAAGACAGATGATAGATGGATAGATATAGATAGATGATAAATAGGTAGATGATAGATAATAGGTTAAAGATACATAGATGATGATTGATTGATTCATTAATAGATAATACATAGAGATGATGATGATGAAGACAGATAATACGTACAGATAGAGAGGCAGACAGAAATCATAGAGAGAGAGATGATACATACATATAAATAACAGATGATTGATGGATAGATAGACAAGTGATAGATACATAGATGATATATAGATATAGATGACAGGTAGAGAATTTGTAGATAGGCACCGAATAGATAAATAGATAGATCGACAGATAATAGATAGAAATATGCAGAAAGTTATGAACAGGACACAACGTGAGAAACTTAGAATTTAAAAAAGTAACATCAAGTCAACCAATCCAAGGAGAGTCAGAGAGAATAAAAGAATCCAAAAAGGGAAAACATATCTAGAGGTGGGGAAGCGAGGTCAGAGACCTAGAGAGACAGAGAAGGTGGAAGAAGGAAATAGACATGAAGAGAGATGGGGTGGAGGGTGAGAGAGAGAGAGAGAGAGAGCATTAGGTCATAGAGCAGGGGAGTGAGTTCTCAGCTCAGGTGAAGGGAGCTGTGACAAGGAAGATCCTCCGTAAGGAAAATGCCTCTTCTCCTCCAGGTCTATATGAGAAACCTTCTCTCTCAGCCCAGCCGGGCCCCACGGTTCTGGCAGGAGAGAGCGTGACCTTGTCCTGCAGCTCCCGGAGCTCCTATGACATGTACCATCTATCCAGGGAGGGGGAGGCCCATGAACGTAGGTTCTCTGCAGGGCCCAAGGTCAACGGAACATTCCAGGCCGACTTTCCTCTGGGCCCTGCCACCCACGGAGGAACCTACAGATGCTTCGGCTCTTTCCGTGACTCTCCATACGAGTGGTCAAACTCGAGTGACCCACTGCTTGTTTCTGTCACAGGTGAGGAAACCCCATATCTGTCTCATGTCCTATGATCCTAGAGCCTTAGCTGAGGAGCTTCCTGCTGATGATGGAGAGAAGCATGGACAGATGCAGAGAGAAGACGAAGCTTGGGTGTGAGGGAGGGATCAGGGCACAGGATGGCAGACAGGGCACCTCCAAACCCTCCTACACGGCCTGCATGAAGGCCCGCGGCCAGGGCTCCAGGCACACAGGCAGATGGAGAAAACGGTCAGGAGAGACCCAGAGGAGAGAGACTGGGCTCAGTTTGGGAAGATCAGAGGTTCCCTCAGCCCCTCAACATTACCCATTTCCCAGAAGCCCATCCTGGCCTCTCACCCACACAGGGATGTCATCACCAGCAACCCCTACACCCTTTACTTTTGTTTGAAGAAATATTTATTGAGGATAAATATACCTATATAGCTTACCACCTTTAACATTTTTTTTTTTTTTGAGGCAGAGTCTAGCTCTGTCCCCTATGCTGGAGTGCAGTGGCACAATCTCAGCTCACTGCAACTTCCGCCTCCTGGGTTCAAGTGATTCTCCTGCTTCAGCCACCTGAGTAGCTGGTGCTACAGGCGCGCACCACCACGCCAGGCTACTTTTTGTATTTTTAGTAGAGAGGGGGTTTCACCATGTTGGTCGAGCTGGTCTCCAACTCCTGACCACGTGATCCACCCGCATCTGCCTCCCAAAGTGCTGGGATTACAGGCATGAGCCACCACGCCCAGCCACATTTACCATTTTTAAGTGTAAAGTCTAGTGGTCATAAATACATTTATATATATATATATATATATATATATATATATACACACACACACACATATATAAACATATATATATATATATATATATATATATATATATATATTTTTTTTTTTTTTTTTTTTTTACCCTCCACCCTTTTATTCCTGGCCTCTGGAAGCCACCATTCTACTCTCTACCTTCATGAGATCCACCTTTTAGCTCTGTATATGGGTGAGAAATGGGAATCTTTGTAATGACTTCCAGTTCCATCCATGTGGCTGCAAATATCAGGATGTTATTCTTTCTATGGATGAGTAGTCTCCACTGTGCGTATGTACTACATTCTCTCTATCCATTCATCCACTGATGGGCAGGTAGGTTGACTCCACATCTTGGCTACTGTGAACAGTGCTGCACCAATCATACGAGTGCAGATATCACTTCGATATATTGATTTACTTTCCTTTGGATATAAACCCAGTAGTGAAATTGCTGGATACTATGAAAGTTCTCTTTTTAGTTATTCGTTTGTTGTTTTGTTTTTGTTTTTGAGACAGTTTCCCTCTGTGCCCAGGCTGGAGTACAAGTGAAGTCATCTTGGCTCATTGCAACCTCCGCCTCCTGGGTTCAAATGATTTTCCTGCCTCAGCCTCCCTAGTAGCTGGGATTACAGGTGCACGCCACCATGCCTGGCTACTTTTTGTTTTTTTTAGTATAGATGGGGTTTCCCCATGTTGGCTGGGCTGCTCTCAAACTCATGACCTCAACTGAGGTGCCCGCCTCGGTCTCCCAAAGTGCCGGGATTACAGGCATGATCCACCTCACCCAACCTCTTTTTAGTTCTTTAAAGGACTTCCACACTTTTCTCCGTAAAGGCTGTACTAATTTACACTCCTACCAACAGGGTATTAGGGTTCTCCTTTCTCTACCACTTTGGCAGGATTTCCTTTGCCTGTCTTGCAGCTAAAAGCCATTTTATTTTATTTCATTTTATTTTGAGATGGAGTTTCGCTCTTGTCACCCAGGCTGGAGTGCAGTGGTGCGATCTCGGCTCACCACAACCTCCACCTCCCAGGTTCAAGCGATTCTCCTGCCTCAGCCTCCCGAGTAGCTGGAATTACAGGCACACGCCACCACGCCCAACTAAATTTTGTATTTTTAGTAGAGACAGTGTTTCTTCATGTGGGTCAGACTGGTCTCAAACTCCCGACCTTATGAGGTTCACCCACCTCAGGCTCTCAAAGGTCTAGGATGACAGACGTGAGCCACCACGCCCGGCCTAAAATCCATTTTAATGGGGTGAGATGAAAACTCACTTTGATTTTAATTTGTGTTTCTCTGATGATGAGTGAAACTGAGCACTTTTTAGTATGTGGGGAAATTTCATGTGTTTTGCTCCTTTTTCAATTAAATCGTTTGTTTTATTGAGTTGTTTGAGCTTCTTATATTTCTAGTTATTAATCCCATCTCAGATGCATAGTTTGCACATATTTGCTCCCAATCTGTGGGTTGTCTCTTCACTTTGTTGGTTTATTTTTAGCGGTGCAGAAGTTGCTTAGTTTGAGGTAATCCCAATGGTCTATTTTTGCTTCGATTACTTGTGTTTTGAAGGTTTAAAACAAAATGTCTTCCTTCAGACAAATGTCCTGGAGCATTTCCCCAATATTTTCTTCTACGTGTTTCATAGGTTCAGGCCTTAGACTCACATCTTTAATCCATTTTCATTTGAGTTTTGTGTATAGTGACAGGTAGAGGTGCAGTTTCATTCCTCTGCATGTAGATGTCCAGGTTTCCCTGCACTGTTTATTGAAAAGACTGTCCTTTCCTGATTGTGAGTTCTTGGCACCTTTGTCAAAGTCCATTGGATGGGCTGGGCATGGTGGCTGACACCTGCAATTTCAGCACTTTGGGAGCCCAAGGCGGGTGGATCACCTGAGGCCAGGAGTTCAAGATTAGTCTGGCCGACGTGATGAAACATTGTCTCCACTAAAAATATAAAAATTAGCTGAGCATGGTGGTCAGCACCTGTAATACCACTACTCAGGAGTTTGAGGCCAGAGAATTGATTGAACCCAGGAGGCTGTGGTGGCAGTGAACCGAGATTGCACCTCTGCACTCCAGCCTGGGTGACAGAGCGAGACTCCATCTCAAAAGAAAAAAGAAAAAAACATTGGAGGTAAATGCATGGATTATATCTGTGTTCTTCATTCTGCTCCATTGTTCTACGTGCCTTTCTTTATGCCAATGTGATGCTGTTTTGCTTACTACAGCTCTGTAACATATTTTGAGATCAGGTAGTGTGATGCTCCTGTTTTCTCTTTATACCTTGAAGTCTCAAGACAGTGGGCGTCACATACAAAAATTACGGAAAAAAGGATCCCAGGACTCCCAGGGCCCAATATTAGATAACAGAGTGTTGGCCATGAACCAACCTCAAAGATTTCCATTGAGTAGAGGACAGACACCCTCATTTCCTCACCTCTCTCCTGTCTCGTGTTCTAGGAAACCCTTCAAATAGTTGGCCTTCACCCACTGAACCAAGCTCCGAAACCGGTGAGTACAGAACCCTCTTATATCCGCTTTTGGAAACCTGGGGAGGTAGAAACCTTCGATGCAGGCATTGACTCAGCATCTCGCAGCTCTGACATTGTACGCCTGTCTTCTACCATCTCCGAACTCCAGATACTCCAACAGCGAAAGGGATCTGGGCCCAACCTAGGGCTCAGTGAAATCTCTTAATCTCTCATTTTATGGAGCTGAGACCTCCTACAAGCTAGAAGAATGATTGCCAATCTGACATCCTTCTCAGGAAAAATGCAATGTTTGTTCTGCCTGCATTCCTAACTGGAGGATAAATTCCTGGGGGCTTGAGAGAGGGAAGGGAAGGGAACATCTGATGAGGGCGAGGTGTTTTAGAGAAGTTCCACTTGCCAAGGAATGAATTACTGTTGGTCATGAAGCAACCCTGGCTGACTCAGCAGAGCAACAGCCTTGCCGTAACAGAGAACGGAGCTCATGCACGCACACTTCGACTCACTGACTCATTCAGCCACGGCCCCATGCTCAGGCTGTGCAGTGCGGAACCTTTTCCTATTGTTGCCATAACAAATTTCCACAAGATTCGTGGGTGAAAACAAAACGGTTTTTTAATTATCTTACAGTGCTGTAGCTCAAAGTAGGAAGTGCATCTTACTGGGCTAAAATCAAGGTGACAGCAAGGCTGCCTTCCCTCTGAGGATTCCAGGCAAGAATCTGCTTCTCACTTATCCCAGCTTCTAAAGGCTCCCAGTTCCTTGGCTCCTGTTCCCCTTCCTCCTTCCTCAAAGCCCACAAAGACTGGTCACATCTCACATGGCATCACTCAGTGCCTTCTTCCTTACCACACCTCTTTCTCTGAATGCTGCTCTCCCTTCTTCCTTATCTTTTGAAAACTTGGGGATTCTATTGGGTTCACCAAGATGAAAATCCCTCATAATCTCCTGGAAATCATCCAGGATACCCTTGTTTTAAGTTCAGCTGATTAGCAACCGCAATTCCATCTACAATCTTCATTCCTCCTTTCCATGTAAAATAACATATTCACAAGCTATGGAGGCTAGGACAGGGACATTTTGGGGTGGGACAGCATTCTCCTGCCTTCCACAAACGGTGAACAAGATGCATTTGGCTTCTGCCCTTGGGACACTGATATTGCAGATGGTTAAATGGGAGGGCAGAAAATGAATGCACAAGTGGATCTATAAATGAATGATCCATTGGGAAGCATCTGTGCATGAAATCTATTTTTTGTTTGTTCTTTTGTTTATTGAGACAGAGTCGCCCTCTGTCTTCCAGGCTACAGTGCAGTGTCACGATCTTGGCTCACTGCAACCTGCGTCTCCTGGATTCAAGTGATTCTCCTGCCTCCGCCTCTCGAGTAGCTGGGATTACAGGCAACTGCCACCGTGCCCGGCTAATTCTTTTTGTATATTTTTTGTAGAGAGGATGTTTCACCACGTTGGCCAAGCTTGTCTGAAACTCCCAACCTCAAGTGATCCGACCGTCTCAGCATGCCAAAGTAATGGGACTACAGGCGTGAGCCACTGTGCCCAGCCAGAATTCAAAATCAATAATAGATAATGCTGAGTGTATGATTTCAGGTGACAAAGAAGGTCTCACTATTCAGATATTTGTGACATTAATGAAAAACACGGATTGAACCCCTGAAAGATTGGCGGAAGGATTTTGCACACACAGCTGTCAGCCGTGAAGGCACAAAGGTGAAAACAATCTGATGTGGAAGGAAGAGGCTCTGCCTCAAATGCTGGGAATGATGTGGGGAGAATGACAAGACGACTGTAGAGAGACGGAGAGCACACTGGGTACACAGGAAACTAAGGAGCAACAAGGAGTGTGTGTTTGACACTCACAGCCATTGGATTCACCTCGGGGTAACCAGGAATCCCTACATGATTAATATGACTGACATGAAAATAAGGGAGGCTCAGTTGCATAACTGGAATCTAGGAGACCGTGGAAAAGGCAATTGCCACCCCACTGGTGAAATGTGGTGCTGATTTAGACACTAAATGAATGAAGTAGATGGATATAAGATATGTTTGTGAGGTAGAATCATTGACTGGAAACGCTTACTGGGTTTGATTTTCCTACTTGTTTAATCCTCGCTTAATTAATTTCTTTCTGAGATTTATTCATCCTACACATAAATCAATACCTGGCAAAGGAGTGACAGATATATGAGTGGTGGTGGAAATGAAGAGACTTATTATAGCATAATATACAAGTCTGTGAACAGTGGCTCACGCCTGTAACCTAGCACTGCAGGAGGCCAAGGTGGGTGGATTCCATGAAGTCAGGAGTTCCAGACCAGCCTGGCCAACGTGGTGAAACCCTATCTCTACTAAAAATACAAAAATTAGCCGAGCACGATGGTGCATCCCTGTAATCCCAGCTCCTATTCTGGAGGATGAAGCAGGAGAATGACTTCAACCCAGTAGGTGGAGGTTGCAGTGAGTGGAGATTGCATCACTGCACTCCAGCCTGGGGGACACAAGGAGACTCTATCTCAAAAAATAAAAATAAGAAATACATAAATATAATAAAACACACACGAATGACAAAGGCACCTGAATTCCAATCATCGTTTTTCTATTTCTCTATAATTACTTCTTTGATCCTTTATCTTATCCATTAGGCAATGAGCTTAAAACCTCTTCCCTATTTGGCTTTCTGTGAGAATGAGATCACATAGAAAATGTGAAAGCCCTCAGAATCCTCCAGCACAGATCGTGGAATAGAGAAAGTGCTCTGTTCATCGCAACAAAAAACTTGCCCACTCACCCAAATCCCCCACCTCACCCCTACTTCCAATCACCTGTGGAGATTCAGATAGGCTATGGGGAGGTAAACATTGATACTCCTTGGAGTGAGTCCAGATCTTGGAATCAGAGATCAGTGCCAGCACTAGCTCCTGCTCCCCTTTCCTACTAATTCACAGGAGGACAGGTGGTATTGAAGCAATAGATGGCCGAGGGGGTGGTCCTTCCCCCAGCCTCTCGGGTAGAACAGCAGCCTAACATGTGTCTCCCGAGATCACAAAGAGTAGCACGTTTCACACGGGCTTCAACACTATTTCCTGGCCATTTGACATAAGAGAATTCTACTTAGCTTTTTTTATCTTGATTTCACTTTTGTTTCCTTTTCTTGGAGAATGCAAGTTGTTTGATTCAAGAATGCTGTGGATGTAGAAATCCTAAAGCACATTCGCTGTGTATCAATCCCAGTGCAGTCTTCCCAGAGAAGACTCTAAATACCTCCTGGACTGCACCTGGGCTTATGCCAATTCCTATCACTCACCGTCACTCCAGGGAGACAGAACACACAGAGAATACATTACACAGGCAGGTTCATTACTAACAGATAAGCAGCGAGTGACAACAGAAACCTACATTTCAATGTGAGCCAGTCCCTCAAGGCTCAGAAAAGCTACTCGGGACATATGGAGTCACCCCATTTGCAGTGTAGCTGGGGGAAGCCAGAGAGCAGCCCAGCCTGGGTTTTGTACTGTGGAGCCACAGGAAGCACTCAGCTAAAGCACTGCATGACGTCCTCCTCCAGGAAGAACAGGAAGACAGCCCAGGCTGTTCTGAGACGTTCCTCCTGATCTCAGGACGTTGCTGTCTTAGTCCATTTTTGTTGCTCTAAAGGAACACTTGAGCCTGGGTAACTTCTAGAGAAAAGAGATTGGTTTGCCTCACAGTTCTGCAGGCTGTACTGGAAGCGTGGCACCAGCATCTATTTCTCGTGACGGCCTCAGGCTGCTCCCACTCTGGCAGAAGGGAAGGAGGGTCTGTCTGTGCAGAGACCACAGAGATCACACGGCAAGAGAGGGAGCAAGGGGGAGGGGGAGCGATGGAGCTTCCAAGCTCTTTTGAACAACCAGCTCTCCAGGAACTAATAGAAGGGGAACTTGCTAACCCCGTCTCCTTGGGACAGCATTGGTCTGTTCATGATGGATCCACCTCCATGACCCAAACACCTCTCAAGAGGCCCAACCTCCCACAGTGGGGGTGAAATTTCAATGTGAGGTTTGAAGGGGTCAAACATCTCAACTAAAGTAGTTGTATCCTCAACACGTTCTATGGTTACTATGAGAGCTATAACTGAGAAAGCAGGAGAAAGCTGGGTCTCCCTCCATCTGGGTGCTTGTCCTAAAGGGGTGTTGTATGTGGTTACCTGTCAATCAAGAAATGTGAGACAATTCATAAAGAGGAACTGCTATGATTAGCTTCTTATTGGTGTCTCCTCTTCTTCCAGGTAACCCCAGACACCTGCATGTTCTGATTGGGACCTCAGTGGTCATCATCCTCTTCATCCTCCTCCTCTTCTTTCTCCTTCATCGCTGGTGCTGCAACAAAAAAAGTAAGTCTCACGAAGCAGAGGCCAGAGAGCTCAGGGCCATGTGGGGAAGCAGGATGGGAGCACTCAGGTGTGTGTTCCTCACAGACAGGATGGTCCCTGGCCCAAGGCAGCAGCCACAGAGGGAGGACTTTCTAGAGAGAGCACCAGACTCCCTGTCCCTGCCTTCAGCTCACAGACCATTGCCTGATTCTGAACTGTATCCTCATGTCCCCTGCAGCCACTCACATCCAGGAGAAGGTTCCATGACAGGCAGAAAGTGGGAGACAGAATCAATGGGATGGGAACTCAGAGCTATTCATGGGATGGGTCCTTGAGCTCAGAGAGATAGAATGTCTGAGTCTGCTGTTGGCAACTGAGGGACCTCAGGCTCCTATGGTCTCCCCCTGTATGTTGGTATCTGCTTATGAAATGAGGGCCCAGAAGTGCCCTCTGAGCTGTTTTGTTGACTTCCGTCTTCTACAGATGCTGTTGTAATGGACCAAGAGCCTGCAGGGAACAGAACAGTGAACAGGGAGGTAGGTGCTCCTCGGCCCAGCCTCGTGGCTAGTGTTATTCCCAAAGAGTCCTGGAAAATGTGAGCACCCTCCCTCACTCAGCATTTCCCTCTCTCCAGGACTCTGATGAACAAGACCCTCAGGAGGTGACATATGCACAGTTGAATCACTGCGTTTTCACACAGAGAAAAATCACTCGCCCTTCTCAGAGGCCCAAGACACCCCCAACAGATATCATCGTGTACACGGAACTTCCAAATGCTGAGCCCTGATCCAAAGTTGTCTCCTGCCCATGAGCACCACAGTCAGGCCTTGAGGGGATCTTCTAGGGAGACAACAGCCCTGTCTCAAAACTGGGTTGCCAGCTCCAATGTACCAGCAGCTGGAATCTGAAGGCGTGAGTCTGCATCTTAGGGCATCGCTCTTCCTCACACCACAAATCTGAACGTGCCTCTCCCTTGCTTACAAATGTCTAAGGTCCCCACTGCCTGCTGGAGAGAAAACACACTCCTTTGCTTAGCCCACAATTCTCCATTTCACTTGACCCCTGCCCACCTCTCCAACCTAACTGGCTTACTTCCTAGTCTACTTGAGGCTGCAATCACACTGAGGAACTCACAATTCCAAACATACAAGAGGCTCCCTCTTAACACGGCACTTAGACACGTGCTGTTCCACCTTCCCTCATGCTGTTCCACCTCCCCTCAGACTAGCTTTCAGCCTTCTGTCAGCAGTAAAACTTATATATTTTTTAAAATAATTTCAATGTAGTTTTCCCTCCTTCAAATAAACATGTCTGCCCTCATGGTTTAGGTAATGGGACTCTTTTCTTGCCTAAGGCTTCCGGTGTTATCAGTACCATGTCCATATAATCCCATCTGTTCTCCACCGGGTTCTCACCTCTGGACTCTGAGCTTCTGGAAGCAGTGTGGAGCCTCATTTGTCTCTGGGACTCCAATTTCCATCCAAAGATGCAGCACATAGGAGGTTCCAAGGATCGGGAATCACATGAACAAGTGACATTGTTACTCTCTGCAGACCTGGAAAGCTGGCAGAGTCATTCCACGATGAAACATTTGTAGAGTCATAGGCCTTGTTAGTCTCATCTCCATGGGGACACATATCAACACATCATCTTTCATACTATAAATATACGGTCACTCCTCCGTATCTGTGGGGTTTACAGGTCTTTATTGAACAAAGTATAAATCAAAAATATTCAGAGAAAATATCCACAGAGTTCCAAAACTCATAACTATGTTGAATGGACACAAATGAAGCTGTGTGTAGGCTGTATCAGGAATTATAAGTAATCAAGAGATGATTTCATGTATACAGGAGGATGTGCATATGTTATTTGCAAGCGCTGTGCCATTTCATATAAGAGGCTTGAGCATCTACAGATTTTGGTATCTGAGTGGAGATCTCGAAACCAATCACCCACGAATAGTGAAGGATGACCGTATATGACTTTTATTTCTCAAATTTAAATATAAATCAAAAAATGTACAACTAGATAAAAACTAAGAAGTGTTTTTATAGTGTGAGTTAGATTTATTTTTTACTAGGTGTAACCCATTGGTTTAATATTATTTATTGAGAAGACATTCTATGCCACCTTAAACCACACGGCAGCCTTTGTCAACTCTAAAGGGACTGTGTGTACATGGATGTATTTTAGACAGTTTCTGCTAAGGGGCTGTCTGTGTCCACACACTTGATGATGCTACACTTTATGTAGCCTTATAGAACCCTTTAAATTTAGTAGCCAGAGCCCTCTAATTTGTTATTATAGGCTATTTGCTTTTTTTTTTCTTGAGGCGGAGTCTTGCTCTGTCGCCCAGGCTGGACTGCAGTGACACAATCTCAGCTCACTGCAACCTCCGCCTCCCAGGTTCAAGCGATTCTCGTGCCTCAGCCTCTTGAGTAGCTGGCGTTACAGGTGCCTGCCACCAGGCATGGCTAATTTTTGGATTTTTAGCAGAGACACGGTTTCACTATGTTGGCCAGGCTGCTCTCAATCCCCTCATCTCAGTTGATCCGCCCACCTCGGCTTCCCGACGTGCTGGGGAAACTTGATTTTCTATAGCATTATGTTACTGGATATTTCTGTAAAATTTAAAATGAGGGAGGCAGAGAGACAGAGAGAGATCAAACTCCAGAGTTGGGACTCTGGAATCTTGGGTCATGAGACAAATTTTAGATTAAACTACAAAACTCCAGAATTTACAGGTGTGGTTTTTGCTGATAAAGTACAATTCTAAGATTGTAAATAATTGCATAATCCTTCCCTGGGAATTTAAATCATTTTAACTGGTTCTGCTGTAATACTAGAAATACAAGCATGAAAAATTCTAATGGTTTATTAGTCACAATGACTCTGAAAACCTTAATAATACCTATTAAATATTTTGCATATTACACATGAAGAAGAGTTTGAATCTCAGATAAAAACAATAAAAATACATGAAAAGTCTTTCACGTTAGCACAGATTTTAGGCATCTCGTGTTCAGGAGGTTGGATCTGAGACGTGTTTTGAGTTGGTCATAGTGAAGGACGCTAGGTGTAAATTCTAGTGAGAACAATTTCCAGGAAGCCGTGTTCCGCTCTTGAGCGAGCACCCACTGGGCCTCATGCAAGGTAGAATAAGCCTGCGTACGTCACCCTCCCATGATGTGGTCAACATGTAAACTGCATGGGCAGGGCGCCAAATAACATCCTGTGCGCTGCTGAGCTGAGCTGGGGCACGGCCGCCTGTCTGCACCGGCAGCACCATGTCGCTCACGGTCGTCAGCATGGCGTGTGTTGGTGAGTCCTGGAAGGGAATAGAGGAAGGGAGTGTGGGGTTGGAGATCTGGGCCCAGAGGTGGAGATATAGGCCTGGAGGTGGAGTTGTGGGCCTGGAGTGGAGATCTGGGCCTGGAGTGGATATATGGGCCTAGAGATGGAGTGATGGGCCTAGAAGTGGAGATCTGGGCCTGGAGTGCCGATAGGAACCTGGAGGGGAGATAGGAGCCTGGAGTGGAGATATGGGCCTGGAGGTGGAGTTATAGGCCTATAGTAGAGATATGGGCCTGGAGTGGAGATTTGGGCCAGGAGTGGAGATATGGGCCTAGAGGTGGATATCTGGGCCTAGAGTGGAAATATGGGCCTAGGATGGAGATATGGGCCTGGTTGTGGAGATATGGGACTGGAGAGGAGATATGGGCCTAGAGTGGAGATATGGGCTTGGGGTGGAGATCTGGGCCTGGGGTGGAGATATGGGCCTGGAGGTGGAGTTACGGGCCTTCAGTAGAGATATGGGCCTGGGGTGGAGATATGGGCTTGGGGTGGAGATCTGGGCCTGGAGTGGAGATATGGGCCTGGAGGTGGAGTTACTGGCCTTCAGTAGAGATATGGGCCTGGTGTGGAGATATGGGCCTGGATTGGAGATATGGGCCTAGGTTGGAGATCTGAGCCTGGAGTGGAGATATGGGCCTGGATTGGAGATATGGGCTTACAGTGGAGATCTTGGCCTGGATTGGCGATATGGGCCTGGATTGGCGATATGGGCCTATGATGGAAATATCGGCCTGGAGTGGAGATATGGGCCTGGAGTGGAGATACAGGCCTAGGGTGGAAATATTGGCCTGGAGTGGAGATATGGGCTTGTGGTGGGGATATGGGCTTGTGGTGGGGATCTGGGCTTGGAGGCTGGGTCTCTGCACAGCCGACAGCCCTGTTCTTGGGTGCAGGTAGGCACTGAGGGTGAGTTTAACTTCAGTCCAGGAAGGGCCTGCCTACCAAGACTCACAGCCCAGTGAGGGCAGCAAGGGAGGGCTGGTTTGCCTGCAGATGGATCGTCCATCATGATCTTTCTTTCCAGGGTTCTTCTTGCTGCAGGGGGCCTGGCCACATGAGGGTGAGTCCTTCTCCAAACCTTAGGGTGTCATCTCCCCACATAAGAGGATTTTCCTGAAACAGGAGGGAAGTCCTGTCAGGGAGCCTCTCATAAACTAGGAAGAGGGGACCCTGGGGTGCTCGGCCCACAGTTCCGACCTCGCCTCCCTGGCCTTTCATTCCCTTGGCAGAGTCAAGTTCTGTGGGGACCAGGGTTAGACTGGGGTGCTCAAAGCTGGGGTGCGTGGTGGGGAAGTGGTAGGAACAGCAGATCCTCTGAGGACAAAGGTGTTACTCACACTTCAGCGTTTCCATGACGGTAGGGGCTGCAGTGTGGCTGCTGTCACTCCACCAGAAGAGGTGGGAAACCACAGCCATGGCCCTGACATTCCAAATCCTCTGATGGGGGCTCAGTTGCTTATTTTCATTCAGGCATCTGCTGATATTCCATTCTCAAAGACATGCCCTCCACCCCATGTCTACCCTGTGTTGTTTTATGTGAGTAATCTTACAGTATTAAAATCTAGTAGGAGTCTCTTACTCAGCACTTGCTCAAAGTTCTCAGCTGACACTTTTGTTGTAGGGAGACACCTTGTGTTTGCGGGATGGGTCCTTCCTTTAGCCCTGGGCACCAAGGTGTGATAGCAGCCATAGAAACTTGGAAAGCGAGGAGAATCTTCAGAGCACAGGGAGGGAGGGGTGGCTCCACATCCTCCTCTCTAAGGCGGTGCCTCCTTCTCCCCAAGGTGGTCAGGACAAGCCCTTGCTGTCTGCCTGGCCCAGCTCTGTGGTGCCTCCAGGACATGTGATTCTTCGGTGTCATTCTTATCTTGGGTTTAACAACTTCAGTCTGTAAAAGGAAGATGGGGTGCCTGGCACTGAGCTCTACAACAGAATATTCTGGAAGAGCCTTTTCATGGGCCCTGTGACCCCAGCACACACAGGGACGTACAGATGTCGGGGTTCACACCCACACTACCCCAGTGGGTGGTCGGCACCCAGCAACACCCTGGTGATCATGGCCACAGGTCAGAGGGCTCCTGTCTTGGATTCTCCTTTCCCACCTCCTGAATCCCAGAGCTTCTGGTGGGCGTGTCCTTGAGGGTCCCATCACCCAGGCCCTGACTATATTTGGGGTAAAGGGGGATTGAATACAGGGAAATGGGTGCTGTGGTGGGAAGAATAATTGTCCCCAGTGATGACTACATTCTAATCCCTGGAGTCTGTGACTATTTATGTTATAGGGGAAGGAACTGAAGGGGAAGATGGAGCTCAGGTTGTTGATGAGTTGACCTTGAGATGGGGAGACAGCCTGGACTGTCCCGCTGGGCTCAGTGTAATCACAAGGGTCCACATGAAAGGAGGAGGAAGAGGGGAGTGGGGATTAGAGCAGCGCAATGGGAGACTCCACCAGCTTTGAAGGTGGAGGAAGGCCAGGAGCCATGAATGCAGGTGGCCTGTAGAGGTTGGAAAAGTCAAGGAAATGATTCTCCAGAGTCTCCAGAGGGAACGAAGCCCTGCAGATGCCTTGATTTTAGCCCAGGAAAAACAGGGTCCTATTTCTGTCTCCAGTAGTGAAATGGGTCAGTGTGCTCTCTCCTGCTGCCATGCTTCTGATAATTTTCTACAGCAGCAACAGGAAACCAACACTGGAACCCAGGTCAAGGACAAGGTAAGAAACAACACAAGGATAGCCGGGTGTGGTGGCAGGCGCATGTAATCCTAGCGACTTGGGAGGCTGAGGGCAGGAGAATCACTTGAACCCAGGAGACAGAGGTTGCAGTGACCCTAGACCACACCACTTCACTCCAGCTGGGGTGAAGGAGTGAGACTCTGTCTCCATAATTAATTAATTAATTAAAGGAACCAAACAAGGGGAAGGTTGGCTACACCGAGATGAGCAAGTGTGGGATGATGATGCCACCACCAGGCTCCATCCACATAGGGAGGGGTTGATACTCCTCAAACCAGCACCAGGAGCCAGCCTATGGAAGCTGGCACCATGGAGAAGGCACAGGCATGGCAAGAGTGGCTCCCAGTCCCGACCAGGAACAGGGTGTGTGGACACTGGTGCCTGCCTTATTCATCAGTTCATACCTACTGCCAAGGATTCCAATTCATCCAAAAGAGATTGAACCAGGCTGATAAGAGGCTGGATGTGCAGCCTATCCTGGTTCCTCTTTCACCCCCACATAAACAGCAGGAAAGACATTAGTGTGAAATAGATACAACACCCCAAGAGATGAGGCTAAGCCCAGTGGGAAGGGAATCAGAGGCGACTAGAGACAGAGGGACAGAGAAGAGGGAGGGAGACAGATGGAAGGACCTGCACCAGGAGTTATGGGCACAGAAAAGAACATGAAGACACAGAGAGGAAGGAGAGAGACAGACACCAGCAAGGGGAAGCCTCACTCATTCTAGGTGCCATGGATGGGATGATAAAGAGAGACACCTTCTAAACTCACAACCTCTCTTCCTAGGAGTCCACAGAAAACCTTCCCTCCTGGCCCACCCAGGTCCCCTGGTGAAATCAGAAGAGACAGTCATCCTGCAATGTTGGTCAGATGTCAGGTTTCAGCACTTCCTTCTGCACAGAGAAGGGAAGTTTAACGACACTTTGCACCTCACTGGAGAGCACCATGATGGGGTTTCCAAGGCCAACTTCTCCATCGGTCCCATGATGGAAGACCTGGCAGGGACCTACAGATGCTACGGTTCTGTTACTCACTCCCCCATCAGTTGTCAGCTCCCAGTGACCCTCTGGACATCGTCATCACAGGTGAGAGTGTCCGGACATTCTTCTCATTGTCATTGGGATGCAGAGTGAATGATCCACGACTTGGAACCCCCAGGTAGTTGTAAGGAAGATGAGCTTGGTATTCTTATGGAGAGAGACTGACTTGGTGAGGTCTGTACCAACAGAGACAGAGAAACAGGAGACACAAGTACAGACCAGGTGTCATAACAGAGGACAGACACAGGGGCCATACCGGGAGTTAGAAAAGACAGAAGGAGTTAAAGGAGACAGACAGACAGACATGTCCCAGAGAGAGGTGTCCCTCCATGCTGACTTTGCTCAGAGACCTGGCACAGGTTAGAAGTTTCATTTCTGTTTTACCTCCACAAAGTGTTCTCTACCAGGAGAACCCAAGGACACCCATATTTATGACCTGAGTTGGGCCCTGTGGCCTCAGGCCTTGTGGCACCTACAGATGCCGTGTTTATTCTGACACCTCTGCCTTCCATGTAATGGAGAGTAACCGTCCCAGGATATCATGGCCCCAGAACACCAACTCCTGTATGCTGTGTGAACTTGTGGTCTCCAGACTGGATTCTGAGGCTCACATTCCAAATAACCCCACATATGAAAGGATCACTGAGAGGCACAGAGAGAAATCAGGGACACCAAAAAGCAAAGACATAAACACACAGAGAATGAGCCAGAGGAAGGAGATTGAGAGACTCACAGACACATAAAGAGAGAGAAAAGAGGGCAGAGGAGTGGTGAGAATGATGGAAGGGAGCAGAGAAAAGCACTAAAATTAGACTCCTGAGGGAGAGGCACAAGGACATAGAAAGATGGAGATGTGGGGATGAATTGCAGAGATTCCAAAGAGAACTAGAGAGACCGAGAGGCAGAGCAAGACAGATGATAGATGGATAGATATAGATAGATGATAAATAGGTAGATGATAGATAATAGGTTAAAGATACATAGATGATGATTGATTGATTCATTAATAGATGAGACATAGAGATGATGATGATGAAGACAGATAGATAATACATAGAGATAGAGAGGCAGACAGAAGTCATAGAGAGAGAGATGATACATAGATATAGATAACAGATGATTGATGGATAGATAGACAAGTGATAGATACATAGATGATATATAGATATAGATGACAGGTAGAGAATTTGTAGATAGGCACCGAATAGATAAATAGATAGATCGATAGATAATAGATAGAAATATGCAGAAAGTTATGAACAGGACACAAAGTGAGAAACTTAGAATTTAAAAAAGTAACATCAAGTCAACCAATCCAAGGAGAGTCAGAGAGAATAAAACAATCCAAAAAGGGAAAACATATCTAGAGGTGTGGAAGCGAGGTCAGAGACCTAGAGAGACAGAGAAGGTGGAAGGAGGAAATAGACATGAAGAGAGATGGGGTGGAGGGTGAGAGAGAGAGAGAGAGAGAGCATTAGGTCATAGAGCAGGGGAGTGAGTTCTCAGCTCAGGTGAAGGGAGCTGTGACAAGGAAGATCCTCCGTAAGGAAAATGCCTCTTCTCCTTCCAGGTCTATATGAGA
Organism: Homo sapiens; assembly: GCF_000001405.40. Taxonomy (NCBI): domain Eukaryota; kingdom Metazoa; phylum Chordata; class Mammalia; order Primates; family Hominidae; genus Homo; species Homo sapiens. Next base: position 62,022 of record NW_016107303.1, read on the forward strand.
AACCTTCTCTCTCAGCCCAGCCGGGCCCCACGGTTCTGGCAGGAGAGAGCGTGACCTTGTCCTGCAGCTCCCGGAGCTCCTATGACATGTACCATCTATCCAGGGAGGGGGAGGCCCATGAACGTAGGTTCTCTGCAGGGCCCAAGGTCAACGGAACATTCCAGGCTGACTTTCCTCTGGGCCCTGCCACCCACGGAGGAACCTACAGATGCTTCGGCTCTTTCCGTGACTCTCCCTACGAGTGGTCAAACTCGAGTGACCCACTGCTTGTTTCTGTCACAGGTGAGGAAAGCCCATGGCTGTCCCATGTCCTATGATCCTAGAGCCTTAGCTGAGGAGCTTCCTGCTGAGGATGGAGAGAAGGATGAACAGATGCAGAGAGAAGACGAAGCTTGGGTGTGAGGGAGGGATCAGGGCACAGGATGGCAGACAGGGCACCTCCAAACCCTCCTACATGGCCTGCATGAAGGCCTGCGGCCAGGACTCCAGGCACCCAGGCAGATGGAGAAAGCGGTCAGGAGAGACCCAGAGGAGGGAGACTGGGCTCAGTTTGGGAAGATCAGAGGTTCCCTCAGCCCCTCAACATTACCCATTTCCCAGAAGCCCATCCTGGCCTCCCACCCACACAGGGATGTCATCACCTGCAACCCCTACACCCTTTACTTTTGTTTGAGAAATATTTATTGAGGATAAATATACCTATATAGCTTACCACCTTTAACATTTTTTTTTTGAGGCGGAGTCTAGCTCTGTCCCCTATGCTGGAGTGCATTGGCACAATCTCAGCTCACTGCAACTTCCGCCTCCTGGGTTCAAGCGATTCTCTTGCCTCAGCCACCTGAGTAGCTGGTGCTACAGGCGCGCACCACCATGCCAGGCTACTTTTTGTATTTTTAGTAGAGAGGGGGTTTCACCATGTTGGTCAAGCTGGTCTCGAACTCCTGACCACGTGATCCACCCGCATCAGCCTCCCAAAGTGCTGGGATTACAGGCATGAGCCACCACGCCCAGCCACATTTACCATTTTTAAGTGTAAAGTCTAGTGGTCATAAATACATTAATATATATATATATACACATATTTTTTTTTACCCTCCACCCTTTTCTTCCTGGCCTCTGGTAGCCACCATTCTACTCTCTACCTTCATGAGATCCACCTTTTAGCTCCTGTATATGGGTAAGAAATGGGAATCTTTGTAATGACCTCCAGTTCCATCCATGTGGCTGCAAATATCAGGATGTTTTTCTTTCTATGGAAGAGTAGTCTCCACTATGCAAATGTACCACATTCTCTCTATCCATTCACCCACTGATGGGCAGGTAGGTTGACTCCTCATCTTGGCTACTGTGAAGAGTGCTGCACCAATCATACGAGTGCAGATATCACTTCGATATATTGATTTACTTTCCTTTGGATATAAACCCAGTAGTGAAATTGCTGGATACTATGAAAGTTCTCTTTTTAGTTTTTCGTTTGTTGTTTTGTTTTTGTTTTTGAGACAGTTTCCCTCTGTGCCCAGGCTGGAGTACAAGTGATGTCATCTTGGCTCATTGCAACCTCTGCCTCCTGGGTTCAAATGATTTTCCTGCCTCAGCCTCCCTAGTATCAGGGATTATAGGCGCACGCCACCATGCCTGGCTACTTTTTGTTTTTTTTAGTATAGATGCGGTTTCCCCATGTTGGCTGGGCTGCTCTCAAACTCATGACCTCAACTGAGGTGCCCGCCTCGGTCTCCCAAAGTGCCGGGATTACAGGCATGATCCACCTCACCCAACCTCTTTTTAGTTCTTTAAAGGACTTCCACACTTTTCTCCGTAATGGCTGTACTAATTTACACTCCTACCAACAGGATACCAGGATTCTCCTTTCTCTAACACCTTGCCAGCATTTCTTTTGCCTGTCTTGCAGCTAAAAGCCATTTTATTTTATTTCATTTTATTTTGAGATGGAGTTTCGCTCTTGTCACCCAGGCTGAGTGCAGTGGTGCGATCTCGGCTCACCACAACCTCCACCTCCCAGGTTCAAGCGATTCTCCTGCCTCAGCCTCCCGAGTAGCTGGAATTACAGGCACACGCCACCACGCCCGACTAATTTTTGTATTTTTAGTAGAGACAGTGTTTCTCCATGTGGGTCAGACTGGTCTCAAACTCCCGACCTTATGAGATTCACCCACCTCAGGCTCTCAAAGTTCTAGGATGACAGACGTGAGCCACCACGCCCGGCCTAAAAGCCATTTTAATGGGGTGAGATGAAAACTCACTTTGATTTTAATTTGTGTTTCTCTGATGATGAGTGATACTGAGCACTTTTTCGTATGTGGGGAAATTTCATGTCTTTTGCTCCTGTTTCAATTAAATCATTTGTTTTATTGAGTTGTTTGAGCTTCTTATATTTCTAGTTATTAATCCCATCTCAGATGCATAGTTTGCACATATTTGCTCCCAATCTGTGGGTTGTCTCTTCACTTTGTTGGTTTATTTTTAGCGGTGCAGAAGTTGCTTAGTTTGAGGTAATCCCAATGGTCTATTTTTGCTTCGATTACTTGTGTTTTGAAGGTTTAAAACAAAATGTCTTCCTTCAGACAAACGTCCTGGAGCATTTCCCCAATATTTTCTTCTACGTGTTTCATAGGTTCAGGCCTTAGACTCACATCTTTAATCCATTTTCATTTGATTTTTGTGTATAGTGACAGGCAGAGGTGCAGTTTCATTCCTCTGCATGTCGATGTCCAGGTTTCCCTGCACTGTTTATTGAAAAGACTGTCCTTTCCTGATTGTGAGTTCTTGGCACCTTTGTCAAAGTCCATTGGATGGGCTGGGCATGGTGGCTGACACCTGCAATTTCAGCACTTTGGGAGCCCGAGGTGGGTGGATCACCTGAGGCCAAGAGTTCAAGATTAGTCTGGCCAACGTGATGAAACATCGTCTCCACTAAAAATATAAAAATTAGCTGAGCATGGTGGTCAGCACCTGTAATACCACTACTCAGGAGTTTGAGGCAAGAGAAGTGATTGAACCCAGGAGGCTGTGGTGGCAGTGAACCGAGATTGCACCTCTGCACTCCAGCCTGGGTGACAGAGCAAGACTCCATCTCAAAAGAAAAACAAAAAATACATTGGAGGTAAATGCATGGATTATATCTGTGTTATTCATTCTGCTCCGTTGTTCTATGTGCCTTTCTTCATGCCAACGTCATGCTGTCTTGCTTACTACAGCTCTGTAACATATTTTGAGATCAGGTAGTGTGATGCTCCTGTTTTCTCTTTATACCTTGAAGTCTCAAGACAGTAGCCGTCACATACAAAAATTACGGAAAAAAGGATCCCAGGACTCCCAGGGCCCAATATTAGATAACAGAGTGTTGGCCATGAACCAACCTCAAAGATTTCCACTGAGTAGAGGACAGACACCCTCATTTCCTCACCTCTCTCCTGTCTCATGTTCTAGGAAACCCTTCAAATAGTTGGCCTTCACCCACTGAACCAAGCTCCAAAACCGGTGAGTACAGAACCCTCTTATATCCGCTTTTGGAAACCTGGGGAGGTGGAAACCTTGGATTCAGGCGTTGACTCAGCATCTCACAGCTCTGACATTGTACGCCTGTCTTCTACCATCTCCAAACTCCAGATACTCCAACAGCGAAAGGGATCTGGACCCAAAACAGGGCTCTGTGAAATCTCTTAATCTCTCATTTTATGGAGCTGAGATCTCCTACAAGCTAGAAAAATGATTGGCAATCTGACATCCTTCTCAGGAAAAATGCAATGTTTGTTCTGCCTGCATTCCTAACTGGAGGATAAATTCCTGGGGGCTTGAGAGAGGGAAGGGTAGGGAACATTTGATGAGGGCGAGGTGTTTTAGAGAAGTTCCACTTGCCCAGGAATGAATTACTGTTGGTCATGAAGCAACCCTGGCTGACTCAGCAGAGCAAGAGCTTTGCCTTAACAGAGAACGGAGCTCATGCACGCACACTTCGACTCACTGACTCATTCAGCCACGGCCCCATGCTCAGGCCGTGGAAAAGGCAATTCCCAGCACTGCAGGAGGCCAAGGCGGGTGGATCACTTGAAGTCAGGAGTTCCAGACCAGCCTGGCCAAAATGGTGAAACCCTGTCTCTATGAAAAATACAAAAATTAGCCGAGCATGGTGGTGCATCCCTGTAATCCCAGCTCCTACTCTTGAGGATGAAGCAGGAGAACGACTTCAACCCAGGAGGTGGAGGTTGCAGTGAGTGGAGATTGCATCACTGCACTCCAGCCTGGGTGACACAAGGAGACTCCGTCTCAAAAAATAAAAATAAGAAATGCATAAATATAATAAAACACACACGAATGACAAAGGCACCTGAATTCCAATCATCATTTTTGTATTTCTCTATAATTACTTCTTTGATCCTTTGTCTTATCCATTAGGCAATGAGCCTAAAACCTCTTCCGTATTTGGCTTTCTGTGAGCATGAGACCATATAGAAAATGTGAAAGCCCGCTGAATCCTCCAGCACAGATCGTGGAATAGAGAAAGTGCTCTGTTCATCACAAAAAAAACTTGCCCTCTCACTCAAATCCCCCACTTCACCCCTACTTCCAATCACCTGTGGAGATTCAGATAGACCATGGGGAGGTAAACATTAATACTCCTTGGAGTGAGTCCAGATCTTGGAATGAGAGATCAGCACCAGCACTAGCTCCTGCTCCCCTTTCCTACTAATTCACAGGAGGACAGGTGGTATTGAAGCAATAGATGGTGGAGGGGGTGGTCCTTCCCCCAGCCTCTCAGGTAGAACAGCAGCCTAACATGTGTCTCCCGAGATCACAAAGAGTAGGACGTTTCACAGGGGCTTCAACACGATTTCCTGGCTGTTGGACATAAGATAACTCTATTTCGCTTTTTTATCTTGATTTCACTTTTGTTTCCTTTCCTTGGAGAACGCAAGTTGTTTGACTCAAGAATGCTGTGGATGTAGAAATCCTAAAGCACATTCGCTGTGTGTCAATCCCAGTGCAGTCTTCCCAGAAAAGACCCTAAACACCTCCTAGACTGCACCTGGGCCTACGCCAATTCCTATCACTCACCGTCACTCCAGGGAGACAGAACACACAGAGAATACGTTACATAGGCAGGTTCATTACTAACAGATAAGCAGCGAGTGAAAACAGAAGCCTACATTTCAATGTGAGCCAGTCCCTCAAGGCTCAGAAAAGCTGCTCGGGACATATGGAGTCACCCCATTTGCAGTGTAGCTGGGGGAAGCCAGAAAGCAGCCCAGCCTGGGTTTTGTACCCTGGAGCCACAGGAAGCACTCAGCTAAAGCACTGCATGACGTCCTCCTCCAGGAAGAACAGGAAGACAGCCCAGGCTGCTCTGGGACGTTCCTCCTGATCTCAGGACGTTGCTGTCTTAGTCCATTTTTGTTGCTCTAAAGGAACACTTGAGCCTGGGCAACTTCTAAAGAAAAGAGATTGGTTTGCCTCACCGTTCTGCAGGCTGTACTGGAAGCATGGCACCAGCATCTATTTCTCGTGATGGCCTCAGGCTGCTCCCACTCTGGCAGAAGGGAAGGAGGGTCTGTCTGTGCAGAGACCACAGAGATCACACGGCAAGAGAGGGAGCAAGGGGGAGGGGGAGCGATGGAGCTTCCAAGTTCTTTTGAACAACCAGCTCTCCAGGAACTAATAGAGGGGGAACTAGCTAACCCCGTCTCCTTGGGACAGCATTGATCTGTTCATGATGGATCCACCTCCATGACCCAAACACCTCTCAAGAGGCCCAACCTCCCACAATGGGGGTGAAATTTCAATGTGAGGTTTGAAGGGGTCAAACATCTCAACTAAAGTAGTTGTGTCCTCAGCACATTCTATGGTTACTTTGAGAGCTATAACTGAGAAAGCAGGAGAAAGCTGGGTCTCCCGCCATCTGGGTGCTTGTCCTAAAGAGGTGTTTTACGTGGTTACCTGTCAATCAAGAAATGCGAGACAATTCATAAAGAGGAACTGCTATGATTAGCTTCTTATTGGTGTCTCATCTTCTTCCAGGTAACCCAAGACACCTGCACGTTCTGATTGGGACCTCAGTGGTCATCATCCTCTTCATCCTCCTCCTCTTCTTTCTCCTTCATCGCTGGTGCTCCAACAAGAAAAGTAAGTCTCACGAAGGAGAGGCCAGAGAGCTCAGGGCCATGTGGGGAAGCAGGATGGGAGCACTCAGGTGTGTGTTCCTCACAGGTAGGATGGTCCCTGGCCCAAGGCAGCAGCCACAGAGGCAGGACTTTCTAGAGAGGGCACCAGACTCCCTGTCCCTGCTTTCAGCTCACAGACCGTTGCCTGATTCTGAACTGTATCCTCATGTCCCCTGCAGCCACTCACATCCAGGAGAAGGTTCCATGACAGGCAGAAAGTGGGAGACAGAATCAATGGGATGGGAACTCAGAGCTATTCATGGGATGGGTCCTTGAGCTCAGAGAGATAGAATGTCTGAGTCTGCTGTTGGCAACTGAGGGACCTCAGGCACCTATGGCCTCCCCCTGTTTGTTGGTATCTGCTTATGAAATGAGGACCCAGAAGTGCCCTCCGAGCTCTTTTGTTGACTTCCGTCTCCTACACATGCTGCTGTAATGGACCAAGAGCCTGCAGGGAACAGAACAGCGAATAGCGAGGTAGGTGCTCCTCGGCCCAGCCTCGTGGCTAGTGTTATTCCCAAACAGTCCTGGAAAACGTGAGCACCCTCCCTCACTCAGGATTTCCCTCTCTCCAGGACTCTGATGAACAAGACCCTCAGGAGGTGACATACGTACAGTTGGATCACTGCGTTTTCACACAGAGAAAAATCACTCGCCCTTCTCAGAGGCCCAAGACACCCCCAACAGATACCAGAGTGTACACGGAACTTCCAAATGCTGAGTCCAGATCCAAAGTTGTCTCCTGCCCATGAGCACCACAGTCAGGCCTTGAGGGGATCTTCTAGGGAGACAACAGCCCTGTCTCAAAACCGGGTTGCCAGCTCCCATGTACCAGCAGCTGGAATCTGAAGGCGTGAGTCTGCATCTTAGGGCATCGCTCTTCCTCACACCACAAATCTGAATGTGCCTCTCTCTTGCTTACAAATGTCTAAGGTCCCCACTGCCTGCTGGAGAGAAAACACACTCCTTTGCTTAGCCCACAATTCTCCATTTCACTTGACCCCTGCCCACCTCTCCAACCTTACTGGCTTACTTCCTAGTCTACTTGAGGCTGCAATCACACTGAGGAACTCACAGTTCCAAACATACAAGAGGCTCCCTCTTAACACGGCACTTAGACACGTCCTGTTCCACCTTCCCTCATGCTGTTCCACCTCCCCTCAGAGTATCTTTCAGCCTTCTGTCAGCAGTAAAACTTATATATTTTTTAAAATAATTTCAATGTAGTTTTCCCTCCTTCAAATAAACATGTCTGCCCTCATGGTTTCGGTAATGGGACTCTTTTCTTGCCTAAGACTTCCATTATCATTACCATGTCCACATAACCCCATCTGTTCTCCACTGGGTTCTCACCCCCGGACTCTGAGTTTCTGGAAGCAGGGTGGAGCCTCATTTGTCTCTGGGACTCCTATTTCCATCCAAAGATGTAGCACATAGGAGGTTCCAAGGATCGTGAATCACATGAACAAGTGATATTCTTACTCTCTGCAGACCTGGAAATCTGGCAGAGTCATTCCAAGATGAAACATTTGTAGAATCATAGGCCTTGTTAGTCTCATCTACACAGGGACACATATCAACACATCATCTTTCACACTATAAATATACAGTCACTCCTCCATATCTGTGGGGTTTACAGTTCTTTATTGAACCGAGTATAAATCAAAAATATTCAGAGAAAGTATCCACAGAGTTACAAAAAGCAGAACTGTGTTGAATGGACACAAATGAAGCTGTGTGTAGGCTGCATCAGGAATTATAAGTAATCTAGAGATGATTTCATGTATACAGGAGGATGTGCATAGGTTATTTGCAAACTCTGTGCCATTTCATATAAGAGGCTTGAGCATCTACAGATTTTGGTATCTGAGTGGAGATCTCGAAACCAATCACCCACGAATAGTGAAGGATGACCGTATATGACTTTTATTTCTCAAATTTAAATATAAATCATAAAAAATGTACAACTAGATAAAAACTAAGAAGTGTTTTTATAGTGTGAGTTAGATTTATTTTTTCCTAGGTATAACCCATTGGTTTAATATTATTTATTGAGAAGACATTCTATGCCACCTTAAACCACACGGCAGCCTTTGTCAACTCTAAAGGGACTGTGTGTACACGGATGTACTTTAGACACTGTTTCTGCTAAGGGGCTCTCTGTGTCCACACTCTTGATGATGCTGCACTTTATGTAGCCTTATAGAACCCTTTAAATTTAGTAGCCAGAGCTCTCTAATTTGTTATTATAGGCTATTTGCTTTTTTTTCTTGAGGCGGAGTCTTGCTCTGTCGCCCAGGCTGGACTGCAGTGACACAATCTCAGCTCACTGCAACTTCTGCCTCCCAGGTTCAAGCGATTCTCATGCCTCAGCCTCTTGAGTAGCTGGCGTTACAGGTGCCTGCCACCAGGCACGGCTAATTTTTGGATTTTTAGCAGAGACACGGTTTCACTATATTGGCCAGGCTGCTCTCAAACTCCTTATCTCAGTTGATCCGCCCACCTCGGCTTCCCAACGTGCTGGGGAAACTTGATTTTCTATAGCATTATGTTACTGGATATTTCTGTAAAATTTAAAATGAGGGAGGGAGAGAGACAGACGGAAAACAAACTCCAGAGTTGGGACTCTGGAATCTTGGGTCATGAGACAAATTTTAGATTAAACTACAAAACTCCAGAATTTACAGGTGGGGTTTTTACTGATAAAGTACAATTCTAAGATTGTAAATAATTGCATAATCCTTCCCTGGGAATTTAAATCATTTTAACTGGTTCTGCTGTAATACTAGAAATACAAGCATGAAAAATTCTAATGGTTTATTAGTGACAATGACTCTGAAAACATTAATAATACCTATTAGATATTTTGCATATTACACAGGAAGAAGAGTTTGAATCTCAGATAAAAACAATAGAAATACATGAAAAGTCTTTCATGTTAGCACAGATTTTAGGCATCTCGTGTTCGGGAGGTTGGATCTCAGACGTGTTTTGAGTTGGTCATAGTGAAGGACACTAGGTGTCAAATTCTAGCGAGAACAATTTCCAGGAAGCCGTGTTCCGCTCTTGAGCGAGCACCCACTGGGCCTCATGCAAGGTAGAAAGAGCCTGCGTACGTCACCCTCCCATGATGTGGTCAACATGTAAACTGCATGGGCAGGGCGCCAAATAACATCCTGTGCGCTGCTGAGCTGAGCTCGGTCGCGGCTGCCTGTCTGCTCCGGCAGCACCATGTCGCTCTTGGTCGTCAGCATGGCGTGTGTTGGTGAGTCCTGGAAAGCAATAGAGGGAGGGAGTGAGGGGATGGAGATCTGGGCCCAGAGGTGGAGATATAGGCCTGGAGGTGGAGTTATGGGCCTGGAGTGGAGATCTGGGCCTGGAGTGGATATATGGGCCTAGAGATGGAGTGATGGGCCTAGAAGTGGAGATCTGGGCCCAGAGGTCGAGATATAGGCCTGGAGGTGGAGTGATGGGACTGTAGTGGAGATCTGGGCCTGGAGTGGAGATAGGAACCTGGAGGGGAGATAGGAACCTGGAGGGGAGATATGGGCCTGGAGGTGGAGATATGGGCCTGGAGTGGAGTCATGGGCCTGGAGGTGGAGTTATGGGCCTGCAGTAGAGATATGGGCCTGAAGTGGAGACATGGGCCTGGAGTGGAGATATGGGCCAGGAGTGGAGATATGGGCCTAGAGGTCGATATCTGGGCCTGGAGTGGAGATATGGGCCAGGAGTGGAGATATGGGCCTAGAGGTCGATATCTGGGCCTGGAGAGGAGATATGTGCCTAGGATGGAGATACGGGCCTGGGTGTGGAGATATGGGACTGGAGAGGATATATGGGCCTGGAGTGGAGATATGGGACTGGAGAGGAGATATGGACCTGGAGTGGAGATAAGGGCCTGGATTGGAGATATGGGCCCAGGGTGGAGATCTGAGCCTGGATTGGAGATATGGGCCTGGATTGGCGATATGGGCTTAGGGTGGAAATATCGGCCTGGAGTGGAGATATGGGCCTGGAGTGGAGATATGGGCTTGAGGTGGGGATATGGACCTGGAGGCTGGGTCTCTGCACAGCCGACAGCCCTGTTCTTGGGTGCAGGTAGGCACTGAGGGTGAGTTTACCTTCAGCCCAGGAAGGGCCTGGCTACCAAGACTCACAGCCCAGTGGGGGCAGCAAGGGTGCCCTGGTTTGCCTGCAGATGGGTCATCCATCATGATCTTTCTTTCCAGGGTTCTTCTTGCTGCAGGGGGCCTGGCCACATGAGGGTGAGTCCTTCTCCCAACCTTCGGGTGTCATCTCCCCACATAAGAGGATTTTCCTGAAATGGGAGGGAAGTCCTGTCAGGGAGTCTCTCATAAACTAGGAAGAAGGGACCCTGGGGTGCTGGGCCCACATTTCTGACCTTGCCTCCCTGGCCTTTCATTCCCTTGGCAGAGTCAAGTTCTGTGGGGACCAGGGTTAGACTACGGTGCTCAAAGCTGGGGTGTGTGGTGGGGAAGTGGTAGGAACAGCAGATCCTCTGAGGACAAAGGTGTTACTCACACACTTCAGCGTTTCCATGACGGTAGGGGCTGCAGTGTGGCTGCTGTCATTCTACCAGAAGAGGTGGGAAAACCACAGCCATGGCCCTGACATTCCAATCCTCTGATGGGGACTCAGTTGTTTATTTTCGTTCAGGCATCGGCTGATATTCCATTCTCAAAGGACATGCCCTCCACCCCATGTCTACCCTGTGTTGTTTTATGTGAGTAATCTTACAGTATTAAAATCTAGTAGGAGTCTCTTACTCAGCACTTGCTCAAAGTTCTCAGCTGACACTTTTGTTGTAGGGAGACACCTTGTGTTTGCGGGATGGGTCCTTCCTTTAGCCCTGGGCACCAAGGTGTGATAGCAGCCATAGAAACTTGGAAAGCGAGGAGAATCTTCAGAGCACAGGGAGGGAGGGGCGGCTCCACATCCTCCTCTCTAAGGCGGTGCCTCCTTCTCCCCACGGTGGTCAGGACAAGCCCTTGCTGTCTGCCTGGCCAAGCCCTGTGGTGCCTCCAGGACATGTGATTCTTCAGTGTCATTCTTATCTTGGGTTTAACAACTTCAGTCTGTAAAAGGAAGATGGGGTGCCTGTCCCTGAGCTCTACAACATAATATTCTGGAACAGCCTTTTCATGGGCCCTGTGACCCCAGCACACGCAGGGACCTATACATGTCGGGGTTCACAACCACACTACCCCAGTGGGTGGTCGGCACCCAGCAACCCCCTGGAGATCACGGTCACAGGTCAGAGGGCTCCTGTCTGGGATTCTCCTTGTCCCACCTCCTGAATCCCAGAGCTCCTGGTGGGCGTGTCCTTGCGGGTCCCATCATGCAAGTCCTGACTGTATTTGGGGTAAAGGGGGATTGAATACAGGGAAATGGGTGCTGTGGTGGGAAGAATAATTGTCCCCAGTGATGACTACATTCTAATCCCTGGAGTCTGTGACTATTTATGATATAGGGGAAGGGACTGAAGGAGAAGATGGAGCTCAGGTTGTTGATGAGTTGACCTTGAGATGGGGAGACAGCCTGGACTGTCCTGATGGGCTCAGTGTAGTCACAGGGGTCCACAGGAAAGGAGGAGGAAGAGGGGAGTGGGGATTACAGCAGCATAATGGGAGTCTCCATCAGCTTTGAAGGTGGAGGAAGTCCAGGAGCCATGAATGCAGGTGGCCTATAGAGGCTGGAAAAGTCAAGGAACTGATTCTCCTGAGTCTCCAGAGGGAACGAAGCCCTGCAGGTGCCTTGATTTTACCCACGACAAACAGGGTCCGATTTCTGTCTCCAGAATTGGAAGGGGTTAGTGTGCTCTCTCCTGGTGCCATGCTTCTGATAATTTTCTACAGCAGCAACAGGAAACCAACACTGGAACCCAGGTCAAGGACAAGTTAAGAAACAACACAAGGATAGCCAGGCATGGTGGCAGGTGCATGTAATCCTAGCGACTTGGGAGGCTGAGGGCAGGAGAATCACTTGAACCCAGGAGACAGAGGTTGCAGTGAGCCTAGACCACACCACTTCACTCCAGCCTGGGCAAAGGAGTGAGACTCTGTCGCCAAAATTAATTAATTAATTAAAGAAACCAAACAAGGAGAAGGTTGGCTACACTGAGATCAGCAAGGCTCAGATGATGATGCCACCACCAGGCTCCATCCACATAGGGAGGGGTTGATACTCCTCCAACCAGCACCAGGAGCCAGCCTATGGAAGCTGGCACTGGCATGGCAAGAGTGGCTCCCAGTCCCTACCAGGAACAGGGTGTGTGGCCACTGGTGCCTGCCTTACTGATCAGTTCATACCTCCTGCCAAGGATTCCAATTCGTCCAAAAGAGATTGAACCAGGCTGCTAAGAGCCTGGATGTGCAGCCTATCCTGGTTCCTCTTCCACCCCCACATAGACAGCAGGAAAGACATTAGTTCGAAATAGATACAACAGCCCAAGAGATGAGGCTGAGCCCAGCGGCAAGGGAATCAGAGGCTACTAGAGACAGAGGGACAGAGAAGAGTGAGGGAGACAGATGGAAGGACCTGCACCAGGAGTTATGGGCACAGAAAAGAACATGAAGACACAGAGAGGAAGGAGAGAGATAAGACACCAGGAAGGGGAAGCCTGACTCAATCCAGGTGCCATGGATGGGATGATAAAGAGAGACACCTTCTAAACTCACAACCTCTCTTCCTAGGAGTCCACAGAAAACCTTCCCTCCTGGCCCACCCAGGTCGCCTGGTGAAATCAGAAGAGACAGTCATCCTGCAGTGTTGGTCAGATGTCATGTTTGAACACTTCCTTCTGCACAGAGAGGGGATGTTTAACGACACTTTGCGCCTCATTGGAGAACACCATGATGGGGTCTCCAAGGCCAACTTCTCCATCAGTCGCATGACGCAAGACCTGGCAGGGACCTACAGATGCTACGGTTCTGTTACTCACTCCCCCTATCAGGTGTCAGCTCCCAGTGACCCTCTGGACATCGTGATCATAGGTGAGAGTGTCCAGACTTTCTTCTCATTGTCATTGGGATGCAGAGTGAATGATCCAGGAATTGGAGACCCAGGTGGCTGTAAGGAAGATGAGCTTGGTATTCTTATGGAGAGAGACTGACTTGGTGAGGTCTGTGCCAACAGAGACAGAGAAACAGGAGACACAAGTAGAGACCAGGTGTCATAACAGAGAACAGACACAGGGGCCATACCGGGAGTTAGAAAAGACAGAAAGAGTTAAAGGAGACACACAGACAGACATGTCCCAGAGAGAGGTGTCCCTCCATGCTGACTTTGCTCAGAGACCTGGCACAGGTTAGAAGTTTCATTTCTGTTTTACCTCCACAAAGTGTTCTCTACCAGGAGAACCCAAGGACACCCATATTTCTGACCTGAGTTGGGCCCTGTGGCCTCAGGCCTTGTGGCACCTACAGATGCCATGTTTATTCTGACACCTCTGCCTTCCATGTAATGGAGAGTAATCGTCCCAGGATATCATGGCCCCACAACACCAACCCCTGTATGCTGTGTGAACTTGTAGTCTCCAGACTGGATTCTGAGGCTCATATTCCAAATAAGCCCACTTATGAGAGGATCAGTGAGAGGCACAGAGAGAAATCAGGGACACCAAAAAGCAAAGACATAAACACACAGAGAATGAGCCAGAGGAAGGAGATTGAGAGACTCACAGACACATAAAGAGAGAGAAAAGAGGGCAGAGGAGTGGTGAGAATGATGGAAGGGAGCAGAGAAAAGCACTAAAATTAGACTCCTGAGGGAGAGGCACAAGGACATTGAAAGATGGAGATGTGGGGATGAATTGCAGAGATTCCAAAGAGAACTAGAGAGACCGAGAGGCAGAGCAAGACAGATGATAGATGGATAGATATAGATAGATGATAAATAGGTAGATGATAGATAATAGGTTATAGATACATAGATGATGATTGATTGATTCATTAATAGATGAGACATAGAGATGATGATGATGAAGACAGATAGATAGATAATACATAGAGATACAGAGGCAGACATAGAGAAATCATAGAGAGAGAGAGATGATACATAGATATAGATAATAGATGATTGATGGATAGATAGACAATTGATGGATAAATAGATGATATATAGATATAGATGACAGGTAGAGAATTTGTAGATAGGCACCGAATAGATAAATAGATAGATCGATAGATAATAGATAGAAATATGCAGAAAGTTATGAACAGGACACAAAGTGAGAAACTCAGAATTAAAAAAAGTAACATCAAGTCAACCAATCCAAGGAGAGTCAGAGAGAATAAAACAATCCAAAAAGAGAAAACATATCTAGAGGTGGGGAAGTGAGGTCAGAGACCTAGAGAGACAGAGAAGGTGGAAGGAGGAAATAGACATGAAGAGCGATGGGGTAGAGGGTGAGAGAGAGAGAGAGAGAGCATTAGGTCATAGAACAGGGGAGTGAGTTCTCAGCTCAGGTGAAGGGAGCTGTGACAAAGAAGATCCTCCCTGAGGAAACTGCCTCTTCTCCTTCCAGGTCTATATGAGAAACCTTCTCTCTCAGCCCAGCTGGGCCCCACGGTTCTGGCAGGAGAGAATGTGACCTTGTCCTGCAGCTCCCGGAGCTCCTATGACATGTACCATCTATCCAGGGAAGGGGAGGCCCATGAACGTAGGCTCCCTGCAGGGCCCAAGGTCAACGGAACATTCCAGGCTGACTTTCCTCTGGGCCCTGCCACCCACGGAGGGACCTACAGATGCTTCGGCTCTTTCCATGACTCTCCATAGGAGTGGTCAAAGTCAAGTGACCCACTGCTTGTTTCTGTCACAGGTGAGGAAAGCCCATGGCTGTCCCATGTCCTATGATCCTAGAGCCTTAGCTGAGGAGCTTCCTGCTGAGGATGGAGAGAAGCATGGACAGATGCAGAGAGAAGACGCAGCCTCGGTGTGAGGGAGGGATCAGGGCACAGGATGGCCGACAGGGCACCTCCAAACCCTCCTACATGGCCTGCATGGAGGCCCACGGCCAGGGCTCCAGGCACCCAGGCAGATGGAGAAAGCGGTCAGGAGAGACCCAGAGGAGGGAGACTGGGCTCAGTTTGGGGAGATCAGAGGTTCCCTCAGCCCCTCAACCTTACCCATTTCCCAGAAGCCCATCCTGGCCTCTCACCCACACAGAGATGTCATCACCAGCAACCCCTACACCCTTTACTTTTCTTTGAAGAAATATTTATTGAGGATAAATATACCTATATAGCTTACCACTTTTAACATTTTTTTTTGAGGTGGAGTCTAGCTCTGTCCCCTATGATGGAGTGCAGTGGCACAATCTCAGCTCACTGCAACCTCCGCCTCCTGGGTTCAAGCGATTCTCCTGCCTCAGCCACCTGAGTAGCTAGTGCTACAGGCACGCACCACCACGCCAGGCTACTTTTTGTATTTTTAGTAGAGAGGTGGTTTCACCATGTTGGTCGAGCTGGTCTCGAACTCCTGACCACGTGATCCACCCGCATCAGCCTCCCAAAGTGCTGGGATTACAGGCATGGGCCACCAGGCCCAGCCACATTTACCATTTTTAAGTGTAAAGTCTAGTGGTCATAAATACATTTTTATATATATATATATATACATTTTTTTTACCCTCCACCCTTTTCTTCCTGTCCTCCAGTAGCCACCATTCTACTCTCTACCTTCATGAGATCCACCTTTTAGCTCCTGTATATGGGTGAGAAATGGGAATCTTTTTAATGACCTCCAGTTCCATCCATGTGGCTGCAAATGACAGGATGTTATTCTTTCTATGGATGAGTAGTCTCCACTGTGCGTATGTACTACATTCTCTCTATCCATTCACCCACTGATGGGCAGGTAGGTTGACTCCTCATCTTGGCTACTGTGAACAGTGCTGCACCAATCATACGAGTGCAGATATCACTTCGATATGTTGATTTACTTTCCTTTGGATATAAACCCAGTAGTGAAATTGCTGGATACTATGAAAGTTCTCTTTTTTTTTTTTTTTTCTTTTTTGAGAAAGAGTTTCCCTCCTTAGCCCAAGCTGGAGTCAAAGTGGTGCAACCTTGGCTCATTGCAACCTCCGCCTCCTGGGTTCAAATGATTTTCCTGCCTCAGCCTCCCTAGTAGCTGGGATTACAGGTGCACACCACCATGCCTGGCTACTTTTTGGTTTTTTTAGTATAGATGCGGTTTCCCCATGTTGGCTGGGCTGCTCTCAAACTCATGACCTCAACTGAGGTGCCCGCCTCAGTCTCCCAAAGTGCCGGGATTACAGGCATGATCCACCTCACCCAACCTCTTTTTAGTTCTTTAAAGGACTTCCATACTTTTCTCCGTAATGGCTGTACTAATTTACACTCCTCCCAACAGGGTACCAGGGTTCTCCTTTCTCTACCACCTTGCCAGCATTTCTTTTGCCTGTCTTGCAGCTAAAAGCCATTTTATTTTATTTCATTTTATTTTGAGATGGAGTTTTGCTCTTCTCACCCAGGCTGGAGTGCAGTGGCGCTATCTCGGCTCACCACAACCTCCACCTCCCAGGTTCAAGCGATTCTCCTGCCTCAGCCTCCCGAGTAGCTGGAATTACAGGCACACGCCACCACGCCCTACTAATTTTTGTATTTTTAGTAGAGACAGCGTTTCTCTATGTGGGTCAGACTGGTCTCAAACTCCCAACCTTATGAGATTCACCCACCTCAGGTTCTCAAAGTTCTAGGATGACACAAGTGAGCCACCTCACCCGGCCTAAAAGCCATTTTAATGGGGTGAGATGAAAACTCACTTTGATTTTAATTTGCGTTTCTCTGATGATGAGTGATACTGAGCACTTTTTCGTATGTGGGGAAATTTCATGTCTTTTGCTCCTTTTTCAATTAAATCATTTGTTTTATTGAGTTGTTTGAGCTTCTTATATTTCTAGTTATTAATCCCATCTCAGATGCATAGTTTGCACATATTTGCTCCCAATCTGTGGGTTGTCTCTTCACTTTGTTGGTTTATTTTTAGCAGTGCTGAAGTTGCTTAGTTTGAGGTAATCCCAATGGTCTATTTTTGCTTCGATTACTTGTGTTTTGAAGGTTTAAAACAAAATGTCTTCCTTCAGACAAACGTCCTGGAGCATTTCCCCAATATTTTGTTCTACGTGTTTCATAGGTTCAGGCCTTAGACTCACATCTTTAATCCATTTTCATTTGATTTTTGTGTATGGTGACAGGTAGAGTTGCAGTTTCATTCCTCTGCATGTAGATGTCCAGGTTTCCCTGCACTGTTTATTGAAAAGACTGTCCTTTCCTGATTGTGAGTTCTTGGCATCTTTGTCAAAGTCCATTGGATGGGCTGGGCTTGGTGGCTAACACCTGCAATTTCAGCACTTTGGGAGCCCGAGGTGGGTGGATCACCTGAGGCCAGGAGTTCAAGATTAGTCTGGCCAACGTGATGAAACATCGTCTCCACTAAAAATATAAAAATTAGCTGAGCATGGTGGTCAGCACCTGTAATACCACTACTCAGGAATTTGAGGCAAGAGAATGATTGAACCCAGGAGGCTGAGGTTGCAGTGAACCGAGATTGCACCTCTGCACTCCAGCCTGAGTGACAGAGCAAGACTCCATCTCAAAAGAAAAAATAAAAAACCATTGGATGTAAATGCATGGAATATATCTGTGTTATTCATTCTGCTCCGTTGTTCTATGTGCCTTTCTTTATGCCAATGTCATGCTATTTTGCTTACTACAGCTCTGTAACATATTTTGAGATCAGGTAGTGTGATGCTCCTGTTTTCTCTTTATATCTTGAAGTCTCAAGACAGTGGGTGTCATATAAAAAAATTATGGAAAAAAGGATCCCAGGACTCCCAGGGCTCAATATTAGATAAGAGAGTGTTGGCCATGAACCATCCTCAAAGATTTCCACTGAGTGGAGGACAGACACCCTCATTTCCTCACCTCTCTCCTGTCTCATGTTCTAGGAAACCCTTCAAATAGTTGGCCTTCACCCACTGAACCAAGCTCCAAAACCGGTGAGTACAGAACCCTCTTATATCCGCTTTTGGAACCCTGGGGAGGTGGGAACCTTGGATTCAGGCGTTGACTCAGCATCTCACAGCTCTGACATTGTACACTTGTCTTCCACCATCTCCGAACTCCAGATACTCCTACAGCGAAAGGGATCTGGGCCCAACACAGGGCTCAGTGAAATCTCTTCATCTCTCATTTTATGGAGCTGAGACCTCCTACAAGCTAGAAGAATGATTGCCAATCTGACATCCTTCTCAGGAAAAATGCAATGTTTGTTCTACCTGCATTCCTAACTGGAGGATAAATTCCTGGAGACTTGAGAGAGGGAAGGGAAGGGAACATCTGATGAGGGCAAGGTGTTTTAGAGAAGTTCCACTTGCCAAGGAATGAGCTCCTGTAGGTCATGAAGCAACCCTGGCTGACTCCGCAGAGAAAGAGCCTTGCCGTAACAGAGAACAGAGCTCATGCACGCACACTTCGACTCACTGACTCATTCAGCCACGGCCCCATGCTCAGGCTGTGCAGTGTGGAACCTTTTCCTATTGTTGCCATAACAAATTTCCACAAGATTCGTGGGTGAAAACAAAACGGTTTTTTAATTATCTTACAGTGCTGTAGCTCAAAGTAGGAAGTGCATCTTACTGGGCTAAAATCAAGGTGACAGCAAGGCTGCCTTCCCTCTGAGGATTCCAGGCACGAATCTGCTTCTCACTTGTCCCAGCTTCTAAAGGCTCCCAGTTCCTTGGCTCCTGGTCCCCTTCCTCCTTCCTCAAAGCCCACAAAGACTGGTCACATCTCACATGGCATCACTCAGTGCCTTCTTCCTTACCACACCTCTTTCTCTGAGTGCTGCTCTCCCTTCTTCCTCATCTTTTGAAAACTTGGGGATTCTATTGGGTTCACCAAGATGAAAATCCCTCATAATCTCCTGGAAATCATCCAGGATACCCTTGTTTTAAGTTCAGCTGATTAGCAACCATAATTCCATCTGCAATCTTCATTCCTCCTTTCCATGTAAAATAACATATTCACAAGCTATGGAGGCTAGGACAGGGACATTTTGGGGTGGGACAGCATTCTCCTGCCTTCCACAAACAGTGAACAAGATGCATTTGGCCTCTGCCCTTGGGACACTGATATTGCAGATGGTTAAATGGGAGGGCAGAAAATGAACGCACAAGTGGATCTATAAATGAATGGTCCATTGGGAAGCATCTGTGCATGAAATCTATTTTTTGTTTGTTCTTTTGTTTATTGAGACAGAGTCGCCCTCTGTCTTCCAGGCTACAGTGCAGTGTCACGATCTTGGCTCACTGCAACCTGCGTCTCCTGGATTCAAGTGATTCTCCTGCCTCCGCCTCTCGAGTAGCTGGGATTACAGGCAACTGCCACCGTGCCCGGCTAATTCTTTTTGTATATTTTTTGTAGAGAGGATGTTTCACCACGTTGGCCAAGCTTGTCTGAAACTCCCAACCTCAAGTGATCCGACCGTCTCAGCATGCCAAAGTAATGGGACTACAGGCGTGAGCCACTGTGCCCAGCCAGAATTCAAAATCAATAATAGATAATGCTGAGTGTATGATTTCAGGTGACAAAGAAGGTCTCACTATTCAGATATTTGTGACAGTAATGAAAAACACGGATTGAACCCCTGAAAGATTGGCGGAAGGATTTTGCACACACAGCTGTCAGCCAGTGAAGGCACAAAGGTGAAAACAATCTGATATGGAAGGAAGAGGCTCTGACTCAAATGCTGGGAATGATGTGGGGAGAATGACAAGACGACTGTAGAGAGACGGAGAGCACACTGGGTACACAGGAAACTAAGGAGCAACAAGGAGTGTGTGCTTGACACTCACAGCCATTGGAATTCACCTCGGGGTAACTAGGAATCCCTACATGATTAATATGACTGACATGAAAATAAGGGAGGCTCCAGGTTGCATAACTGGAATCTAGGAGACCGTGGAAAAGGCAATTGCCGCCCCACTGGTGAAATGTGGTGCTGATTTAGACACTAAATGAATGAAGTAGATGGATATAAGATATGTTTGTGAGGTAGAATCATTGACTGGAAACGGCTTACTGGGTTTGATTTTCCTACTTGTTTAATCCTCGACTTAATTAATTTCTTTCTGAGATTTATTCATCCTACACATAAATCAATACCTGGCAAAGGAGTGACAGATATATGAGTGGTGGTGGAAATGAAGAGACTTATTATAGCATAATATACAAGTCTGTGAACAGGTGGCTCACAGCCTGTAACCTAGCACTGCAGGAGGCCAAGGTGGGTGGATTCACATGAAGTCAGGAGTTCCGAGACCAGCCTGGCCAACGTGGTGAAACCCTATCTCTACTAAAAATACAAAAATTAGCCGAGCACGATGGTGCATCCCTGTAATCCCAGCTCCTATTCTGGAGGATGAAGCAGGAGAATGACTTCAACCCAGTAGGTGGAGGTTGCAGTGAGTGGAGATTGCATCACTGCACTCCAGCCTGGGGGACACAAGGAGACTCTATCTCAAAAAATAAAAATAAGAAATACATAAATATAAATAAATACACACACGCAATGACAAAGGCACCTGAATTCCAATCATGATTTTTCTATTTCTCTATAATTACTTCTTTGATCCTTTATCTTATCCATTAGGCAATGAGCCTAAAACCTCTTCCCTATTTGGCTTTCTGTGAGCATGAGATCATATAGAAAATGTGAAAGCCCGCTGAATCCTCCAGCACAGATCCTGGAATAGAGAAAGTGCTCTGGTCATCACAAAAAAAACTTGCCCACTCACCCAAATCCCCCACCTCACCCCTACTTCCAATCACCTGTGGAGATTCAGATAGACCATGGGGAGGTAAACATTAACACTCCTTGGAGTGAGTCCAGATCTTGGAATCAGAGATCAGCGACAGCACTAGCTCCTGCTCCCCTTTCCTACTAATTCACAGGAGGACAGGTGGTTTTGAAGCAATAGATGGCCGAGGGGGTGGTCCTTCCCCCAGCCTCTCGGGTAGAACAGCAGCCTAATATGTGTCTCCCGAGATCACAAAGAGCAGCAGGTTTCACACGGGCTTCAACACTATTTCCTGGCCGTTTGACATAAGAGAATTCTATTTCGCTTTTTTTATCTTGATTTCACTTTTGTTTTCTTTCCTTGGAGAATGCAAGTTGTTTGATTCAAGAATGCTGTGGATGTAGAAACCCTAAAGCACATTCGCTGTGAATCAATCCCAGTCCAGTCTTCCCAGAGAAGACTCTAAACACCTCCTGGACTGCACCTGGGCCTATGCCAATTCCTATCACTCACCGTCACTCCAGGGAGACAGAACACACAGAGAATACGTTACATAGGCAGGTTCATTACTAACAGATAAGCAGCGAGTGACAACAGAAACCTATATTTCAATGTGACCCAGTCCCTCAAGGCTCAGAAAAGCTGCCTCGGGACATATGGAGTCACCCCATTTGCAGTGTAGCTGCGGGAAGCCAGAAAGCAGCCCAGCCTGGGTTTTGTACCCTGGAGCCACAGGAAGCACTCAGCTAAAGCACTGCATGACGTCCTCCTCCAGGAAGAACAGGAAGACAGCCCAGGGCTGTTCTGAGACGTTCCTCCTGATCTCAGGAAGTTGCTGTCTTAGGCCATTTTTGTTGCTCTAAAGGAACACTTGAGCCTCGGTAACTTCTAAAGAAAAGAGATTGGTTTGTCTCACCGTTCTGCAGGCTGTACTGGAAGCATGGCACCAGCATCTATTTCTCGTGACGGCCTCAGGCTGCTCCCACTCTGGCAGAAGGGAAGGAGGGTCTGTCTGTGCAGAGACCACAGAGATCACACGGCAAGAGAGGGAGCAAGGGGGAGGGGGAGTGATGGAGCTTCCAAGCTCTTTTTAACAACCAGCTCTCCGGGAACTAATAGAGGGGGAACTTGCTAACCCCGTCTCCTTGGGACAGCATTGATGTGTTCATGATGGATCCACCTCCATGACCCAAACACCTCTCAAGAGGCCCAACCTCCCACAGTGGGGGTGAAATTTCAATGTGAGGTTTGAAGGGGTCAAACATCTCAACTAAAGTAGTCGTATCCTCAGCACGTTCTATGGTTACTATGAGAGCTATAACTGAAAAAGCAGGAGAAAGCTGGGTCTCCTGCCATCTGGGTGCTTGTCCTAAAGAGGTGTTTTATGTGGTTACCTGTCAATCAAGAAATGCGAGACAATTCATAAAGAGGAACTGCTAAGATTAGCTTCTTATTGGTGTCTCATCTTCTTCCAGGTAACCCCCGACACCTGCACATTCTGATTGGGACCTCAGTGGTCATCATCCTCTTCATCCTCCTCTTCTTTCTCCTTCATTCGCTGGTGCTCCAACAAAAAAAGTAAGTCTCACGAAGCAGAGGCCAGAGAGCTCAGGGCCATGTGGGGAAGCAGGATGGGAGCACTCAGGTGTGTGTTCCTCACAAACAGGATGGTCCCTGGCCCAAGGCAGCAGCCACAGAGGCAGGACTTTCTAGAGAGGGCACCAGACTCCCTGTCCCTGCCTTCAACTCACAGACCGTTGCCTGATTCTGAACTGTATCCTCATGTCCACTGCAGCCACTCACATCCAGGAGAAGGTTCCATGACAGGCAGAAAGTGGGAGACAGAATCAATGGGATGGGAACTCAGAGCTATTCATGGGATGGGTCCTTGAGCTCAGAGAGATAGAATGTCTGAGTCTGCTGTTGGCAACTGAGGGACCTCAGCCACCTATGGTCTCCCCCTGTATGTTGGTATCTGCTTATGAAATGAGGACCCAGAAGTGCCCTCCGAGCTGTTTTGTTGACTTCCGTCTTCTACAGATGCTGCGGTAATGGACCAAGAGTCTGCAGGAAACAGAACAGCGAATAGCGAGGTAGGTACTCCTCGGCCCGGGCTCGTGGCTACTGTTATTCCCAAAGAGTCCTGGAAAATGTGAGCACCCTCCCTCACTCAGCATTTCCCTCTCTCCAGGACTCTGATGAACAAGACCCTCAGGAGGTGACATACACACAGTTGAATCACTGCGTTTTCACACAGAGAAAAATCACTCGCCCTTCTCAGAGGCCCAAGACACCCCCAACAGATATCATCGTGTACACGGAACTTCCAAATGCTGAGTCCAGATCCAAAGTTGTCTCCTGCCCATGAGCACCACAGTCAGGCCTTGAGGGCGTCTTCTAGGGAGACAACAGCCCTGTCTCAAAACCGGGTTGCCAGCTCCCATGTACCAGCAGCTGGAATCTGAAGGCATGAGTCTGCATCTTAGGGCATCGATCTTCCTCACACCACAAATCTGAATGTGCCTCTCACTTGCTTACAAATGTCTAAGGTCCCCACTGCCTGCTGGAGAAAAAACACACTCCTTTGCTTAGCCCACAGTTCTCCATTTCACTTGACCCCTGCCCACCTCTCCAACCTAACTGGCTTACTTCCTAGTCTACTTGAGGCTGCAATCACACTGAGGAACTCACAATTCCAAACATACAAGAGGCTCCCTCTTAACGCAGCACTTAGACACGTGTTGTTCCACCTTCCCTCATGCTGTTCCACCTCCCCTCAGACTAGCTTTCAGTCTTCTGTCAGCAGTAAAACTTATATATTTTTTAAAATAACTTCAATGTAGTTTTCCATCCTTCAAATAAACATGTCTGCCCCCATGGTTTCGGTAATGGGACTCTTTTCTTGCCTAAGGCTTCCGGTGTTATCAGTACCATGTCCATATAATCCCATCTGTTCCCCACTGAGTTCTCATCCCCGGACTCTGAGTTTCTGGAAGCAGGGTGGAGCCTCATTTGTCTCTGGGACTCCAATTTCCATCCAAAGATGTAGCACATAGGAGGTTCCAAGGATCACGAATCATATGAACAAGTGATACTCTTACTCTCTGCAGACCTGGAAAGCTGGCAGAGTCATTCCACAATGAAACATTTGTAGAATCATAGGCCTTGTTAGTCTCATCTCCATGGGGACACATATCAACACATCATCTTTCATAATATAAATATACGGTCACTCCTCCATATCTGCGGGGTTTACAGGTGTTTATTGAACCAAGTATAAATCAAAAATATTGAGAGAAAGTATCCACAGAGTTTCAAAAAGCATAACTATGTTGAATGGACACAAATGAAGCTGTGTGTAGGCTGTATCAGGAATTATAAGTAATCTAGAGATGATTTCATGTATACAGGAGGATGTGCATAGGTTATTTGCAAACGCTGTGCCATTTCATATAAGAGGCTTGAGCATCTACAGATTTTGGTATCTGAGTGGAGATCTCAAAACCAATCACCCACGAATAGTGAAGGATGACCGTATATGACTTTTATTTCTCAAATTTAAATATAAATCATAAAAAATGTACAACTAGATAAAAACTAAGAAGTGTTTTTATAGTGTGAGTTAGATTTATTTTTTCCTAGGTGTAACCAATTGGTTTAATATTATTTATTGAGAAGACATTCTATGCCACCTTAAACCACACGGCAGCCTTTGTCAACTCTAAAGGGACTGTGTGTACATGGATGTATTTTAGACACTGTTTCTGCTAAGGGGCTCTCTGTGTCCACACTCTTGATGATGCTGCACTTTATGTAGCCTTATAGAACCCTTTAAATTTAGTAGCCAGAGCCCTCTAATTTGTTATTATAGGCTGTTTGCTTTTTTTTTCTTGAGGCGGAGTCTTGCTCTGTCGCCCAGGCTGGACTGCAGTGACACAATCTCAGCTCACTGCAACCTCCGCCTCCCAGGTTCAAGCGATTCTCGTGCCTCAGCCTCTTGAGTAGCTGGCGTTACAGGTGCCTGCCACCAGGCACGGCTAATTTTTGGATTTTTAACAGAGACACGGTTTCACTATATTGGCCAGGCTGCTCTCAAACTCCTTATCTCAGTTGATCCGCCCACCTCGGCTTCCCAACGTGCTGGGGAAAACTTGATTTTCTATAGCATTATGTTACTGGATATTTCTGTAAAATTTAAAACGAGGGAGGGAGAGAGACAGACAGAGAGCAAACTCCAGAGTTGGGACTCTGGAATCTTGGGTCATGAGACAAATTTTAGATTAAACTACAAAACTCCAGAATTTACAGGTGTGGTTTTTGCTGATAAAGTACAATTCTAAGATTGTAAATAATTGCATAATCCTTCCCTGGGAATTTAAATCATTTTAGCTGGTTCTGCTGTAATACTAGAAATACAAGCATGAAAAATTCTAATGGTTTATTAGTCACAATGACTCCGAAAACATTAATAATACCTATTAGATACTTTGCATATTACACAGGAAGAAGAGTTTGAATCTCAGATAAAAACAAAAAAAATACATGAAAAGTCTTTCATGTTAGCACAGATTTTAGGCATCTCGTGTTCGGATAAAAATACATGAAAAGTCTTTCACGTTAGCACAGATTTTAGGCATCTTGTGTTCGGGAGGTTGGATCTGAGACGTGTTGTGAGTTGGTCATAGTGAAGGACGTGAGGTGCCAATTCTAGTGAGAACAATTTCCAGGAAGCCGTGTTCCGCTCTTGAGCAAGCATCCACTGGGCCTCATGCAAGGTAGAAAGAGCCTGCGTACGTCACCCTCCCATGATGTAGTCAACATGTAAGCTGCATGGGCAGGGCGCCAAATAACATCCTGTGCGCTGCTGAGCTGAGCTGGGGCGCGGCCGCCTGTCTGCACCGGCAGCACCATGTCGCTCATGGTCGTCAGCATGGCGTGTGTTGGTGAGTCCTGGAAAGGAATAGAGGGAGGGAGTGCCACATCCTCCTCTCTAAGGTGGCGCCTCCTTCTCCCCCAGGTGGTCAGGACAAGCCCTTCCTCTCTGCCTGGCCCAGCCCTGTGGTGTCTGAAGGAGAACATGTGGCTCTTCAGTGTCGCTCTCGTCTTGGGTTTAACGAATTCAGTCTGTCCAAAGAAGACGGGATGCCTGTCCCTGAGCTCTACAACAGAGTATTCCGAAACACCGTTTTCATAGGCCCTGTGACCCCAGCACATGCAGGGACCTACAGATGTCGGGGTTCACACCCACACTTCCTCACTGGGTGGTCAGCACCCAGCAACCCCCTGGTGATCATGGTCACAGGTCAGAGGGCTCCTGTCTGGGATTCTCCTTGTCCCACCTCCTGAGTCCCAGAGCTTCTGGTGGGAGTGTCCACCAGCGTCCCATCATCCAGACCCTAACTGTATTTGGGGATAAAAGGGGATTGAATACAGGGAAATGGGTGCTGTGGTGGAAAGAATAATTGTCCCCAATGATGACTGCATTCTAATCCCTGCAGTCTGTGACTATTTATGTTATAGGGGAAGGCACTGAAGGGGAAGATGGAGCTCAGGTTGTTGAGTTGACCTTGAGATGGGGAGACAGCCTGGACTGTCCTGCTGGGCTCAGTGTAATCACAAGGGTGCACATGAGAGGAGAAGGAAGAGGGGAGTGGCGATTAGAGCAGTGCAATGGAAGTCTCCATCAGCTTTGAAGGTGGAGGAAGGCCATGAGCCATGAATGCAGGTGGCCTATAGAGGCTGGAAAAGTCAAGGAACTGATTCTCCTGGGTCTCCAGAGGGAACGCAGCCCTGCAGATGCCTTGATTTTAGCCCTCAAAAAACAGGGTCCGATTTCTGTCTCCAGAAACGGAAGGGGTCAGTGTGCTCTCTCCTGCTGCCATGCTTCTGATAATTTTCCTACAGCACCAACAGGAAACCAACACTGGAACCCAGGTCAAGGACAAGATAAGAAAGGACACAAGGATAGCCGGGCGTGGTGGCAGGTGCATGTAATCCTAGCAACTCAGGAGGCTGAGGGCAGGAGAATCACTTGAACCCAGGAGACAGAGGTTGCAGTGAGCCTAGACCACACCACTTCACTCCAGCCTGGGTGAAGGAGTGAGACTCTGACTCCAAAATTAATTAATTAATTAAAGAAACCAAACAAAGAGAAGGTTGGCTACACCGAGATCAGCAAGGGTGGGATGATGATGCCACCACCAGGCTCCATCCACATAGGGAGGGGTTGATACTCCTCAAACCAGCACCAGAAGCCAGCCTATGGAAGCTGGCACCATGGAGAAGGCACAGGCATGGCAAGAGTGGCTCCCAGTCCCCACCAGGAACAGGGTGTGTGGACACTGGTGCCTGCCTTACTGATCAGTTCATACCTTCTGCCAAGGATTCCAATTCGTCCAAAAGAGATTGAACCAGTCTGCTAAGAGCCTGGACGTGCAGCCTATCCTGGTTCCTCTTCCACCCCCACATAGAAGCAGGAAAGACATTAGTTCGAAATAGATACAACAGCCCAAGAGATGAGGCTGAGCCCAGCGTCAAGGGAATCAGGAGCTACTAGAGACAGAGGGACAGAGAAGAGGGAGGGAGACAGATGGAAGGACCTGTACCAGGAGTTATGGGCACAGAAAAGAACATGAAGACACAGAGAGGAAGGAGAGAGATAAGACACCAGCGAGGGGAAGCCTCACTCATTCTAGGTGCCATGGATGGGATGATAAAGAGAGATGCCTTCTAAAGTCACAACCTCTCTTCCTAGGAGTCCACAGAAAACCTTCCCTCCTGGCCCACCCAGGTCCCCTGGTGAAATCAGAAGAGACAGTCATCCTGCAATGTTGGTCAGATGTCATGTTTGAGCACTTCCTTCTGCACAGAGAGGGGACGTTTAATGACACTTTGCGCCTCACTGGAGAGCTCCATGATGGGGTCTCCAAGGCCAACTTCTCCATCGGTCGCATGACGCAAGACCTTGCAGGGACCTACAGATGCTACGGTTCTGTTCCTCATTCCCCCTATCAGTTGTCAGCTCCCAGTGACCCTCTGGACATCGTGATTACAGGTGAGAGTGTCTGGACATTATTCTCATTGTCACTGGGACACAGAGTGAATGATCCACGACTTGGAGGCCCAGGTGGTTATAAGGAAGATGAGCTTGGTATTCTTATGGAGAGAGACTAACTTGGTGAGGTCTGTACCAACAGAGACAGAGAAACAGGAGACACAAGTACAGACCAGGTGTCATAACAGAGGACAGACACAGGGGCCATACAGGGAGTTAGAAAAGACAGAAAGAGTTAAAGGAGACACAGACAGACATGTGCCAGAGAGAGGTGTCCTTCCATGCTGACTTTGCTCAGAGACCTGGCACAGGTTAGAAGTTTCATTTCTGTTTTACTTCCACAAAGTGTTCTCTACCAGAAGAACCCAAGGACACCCATATTTCTGGCCTGAGTTGGGCCCTGTGGCCTCAGGCCTTCTGGCACCTACAGATGCCGTGTTTATTCTGACACCTCTGCCTTCCATGCAATGGAGAGTAATCGTCCCAGGATATCATGGCCCCAGAACATCAACCCCTGTATACTGTGTGAACTTGCGGTCCCCAGACTGGATTCTGAGGCTCACATTCCAAATAACCCCACATATGAGAGGATCACTGAGAGACACAGAGAGAAATCAGGGACACCAAAAAGCAAAGACATAAACACACAGAGAATGAGCCAGAGGAAGGAGATTGAGAGACTCACAGACACATAAAGAGGGAGAAAAGAGGGCAGAGAAGTGGAGAGAACAATGGAAGGGAACAGAGAAAAGCACTAAAATTAGAGTCCTGAGGGAGAGACACAAGGACATAGAAAGATGGAGATGTGGGGATGAATTGCAGAGATTCCAAAGAGAACTAGAGAGACCGAGAGGCAGAGCAAGACAGATGATAGATGGATAGATATAGATAGATGATAAATAGGTAGATGATAGATAATAGGTTAAAGATACATAGATGATGATTGATTCATTCATTGATTAATCGATGATACATAGAGATGATGAAGATGAAGATAGATAGATAATACATAGAGATAGAGAGGCAGACAAAGAGAAATCATAGAGAGAGAGAGACGATACATAGATATAGATAATAGATGATTTTTGGATAGACAATTGATAGATAAATAGATTATATATAGATATAGATGACAGGTAGAGAATTTGTAGATAGGCACCAAATAGATAAATAGATATATCGATAGATAATAGATAGAAATATGCAGAAAGTTATGAACAGGACACAAAGTGAGAAACTCAGAATTTAAAAAAAGTAACATCAAGTCAACTAGTCCAAGGAGAGTCAGAGAGAATAAAACAATCCAAAAAGGGAAAACATATCTAGAGGTGAGAAAGTGAGGTCAGAGACCTAGAGAGACAGAGAAGGTGGAAAGAGGAAATAGACATAAAGAGAGATGGTGTGGAGGGTGAGACAGAGAGAGAGAGCATTAGGCCATAGAGCAGGGGAGTGAGTTCTCAGCTCAGGTGGGAGGGGAGTTGTGACAAGGAAGAACCTCCCTGAGGAAACTGCCTCTTCTCCTTCCAGGTCTATGTGGGAAACCTTCTCTCTCAGCCCAGCCGCGCCCCATGGTTAAGGCAGGAGAGAGCGTGACCTTGTCCTGCAGCTCCCGGAGCTCCTATGACATCTACCATCTATCAAGGGAGGGGGAGGCTCATGAACTTAGGTTCCCTGCAGTGCCCAAGGTCAATGGAACCTTCCAGGCCAACTTTCCTCTGGGCCCTGCCACCCACGGAGGGACCTACAGATGCTTCGGCTCTTTCCGTGACTCTCCCTACGAGTGGTCAGACCTTAGTGACCCACTGCTTGTTTCTGTCACAGGTGAGGAAACCAGTCTGTTCCCCAAATAGTGGGACTCAGATGGACTACAATGGCCACATTCAGGGGAGCCTCAGATGGAGGGGGTGGCCATGGGGGTGTCAGCCAGAGATGCTGGACAGAAGAGACACAAAGCAAACATACAGAAAGAGGCATAGACAGACAGACAGAGCGAGGCAGACAGATCACATTAGGGTTTGGGGTGGTAACTGCAACCCTACCTGAAGCTTGCAGATAGAGCACAGGCCACATAAACCACTTCCCAGTCTTTGTACAGAAGCCCACCTGGGACACATGTAAACAGCATCAATGCTGACTCAGGAGCATGAAAGGCCGGGCTCAGATTGGAAAGACTAGAGGTAGCATTGGCCGCCCGCCATTGCCCATTTCCAGAAGCCCCCACCTCTCACCAAAGAGTGATTTCCACATGGGGGGCACAGATGCAACCATCGTTGGGGGAGCCCCAATGTCTCTTGATGGGAGGCATTTTCCACCCTAGATGTTTTTTGCTCTCTCCACACCTTGGAGACTCAGTGGGGGAGTCTTCTCTGGGGACTCGGGGAGGGCCTCCCTGGGACTCGCAGGATTTCCAAGCTAGATGACAACATGACAGGTGGAAACAGGCCCATTCCTTCGCCAGGGGCCCCAAGCTCCATCCCAGGAGATGAGAAGAGGCTCTTCTCATTGGTCAGTGGATCCCTGAGGGGACAGAGGCTCAGCACTGAAGGCTGAGAAGGATCTGCCACTTCGCTCAGTGGCCTCAAGCCAGACATCTTCCCTACAGACTTGCAGTGATTCTCCATCAGCATTTAGGGCTGTGGCCACCAACCTGGGTGTTGGTCTGTAGGAACTTTTCATTTCTGACCTTCCATAACTGAGTTCTCTTCCTAAATGTGGAATGCCTTGTACTCCATGTTACTCTCTCCCCAGAAAGAATGTGTGGCTTGTCTGCTCTCCAGCCCTGTCATGGAGATTGATAATCCTTAGGGAGCAAGAGGAGAGGGAAAGAACAAAGTATGAGACCACCTAGGTGCTACTGGTTGAGGTTCCATTTGCCAGTGAAGGGACTTCACTCAGCCGAGGGGGCAACTCAGGGAAGTCAGCCGAGGGAGGGCATTAGAGTAGAGAGAACTGAGCTCACCCAGTAAATGACCCCTTCACTAACTCATTCATCTAATATTTATTTCACACCTACCATCAGTTCTCTCTGTTTCATGGCCAGGAGTAGACAGCACGGCCAAGCTCCTGGGTTCATGATGCTCACATTGCTGTGGGGTGGGAGAGAGAGGCAGAACATGAATGAATGAATGAGAGAATGAATGAATGAGTGAATGATGGAATGAGTGAATGAATGAATGAATGAATGTATGAATTAGTGAGTGAATCCTTAGCACTTGGTGAAAGTGCCATGCACAGAATGAAATGAATGAACGTGGAACGTTGTCATTTGGAGTGTACAGGAGGGAACGTCTCACTGAGACCTCATCAGAGAGATCACATTTAAACTCCGATCTTAGAGACAAGAGGGAGTGAGCCCTGGGGAGTGTGTTGAAAGGAACTTTCATGGACTTAGGACATTGGGGATGACCCTAATGTGAGAATGAGCTTGGTGTGTTCCAAGAAGTCCATGGACCTGCCATATGGTGAGGGCTGGTCAGAATCCAGAGAGATTTCTAAATGCCCTTGTGCTTGTAAGGAAAGTGAGTCCTGTGGTTGGGAGTGGACTTATACCTTGGGTCAGGTCCAGCAATTATCTTTCTAAATCCTCTCTAATTGCCTGAACCACTTCTATCAACAACTGAGAAAAGAGGAGTGTTAAACACCCCACTGTGGCCGTGGATTTGCCTACCTGTCCATTTATTTCCGCGACTCTTCCTCCATGTATATTTGCAGGAATATTACTGGGAGTGGTTAAGTGTAAACTGATTATATATTCCTGGTAAATTTAAAATGCTATAAATTTACCTGCTTTTTTCCTACATTTTATGCTTAATGTTTTCCGCTGATTTTTCCCAAAGACTAATTTTGTCTAATTTTAATATAGTTATACCACATTTCTAACAGTGATTGCTTGGTATATTTCTACATTGTTTAATTTCAAACTCCATGAATTGTTAACATTGAGATGTGTCCTTTGTAAATTTCAAACAATTCGCCTTAGAAAGTAAGACTTTCTGACAATCTTTTGTTCATGTTTGAGCAGTTCTTCCAATCATATTTTTGTTATTATTACGTTGTGTTTTCCTGATTCCCTTTTTTTCCCACTGACTTCTGTGGTTTTCTATTTCAAACATTCTATTTTTGATCTATGTCGTTTAGGAATACATATATGGTGTACTCATCCTGAAGTTGTTACATATTTTTAAAATTGAAATTAATCATTTCAGAGATTAAACTGCAAATATAAAAACATATTTCCACTCTTCCTGTGTAAGAACAGGATTTTAGAGCATATTTAGTACATATGTTTGTATTTACTTATATGATGTTTTGTTTTGTGGTATACATAATTCTATCTTTTTCAGAAATTACACAGGGGCATGTTTTCATACACTATCGTATGGTCCATATTCATTTTTGGCATAGCCATATTTTTAGTTCTTCCTCTGCTCTTAGTTATTGTCAGAATCTTCGACACCCCATCTGGTTTCACTTTCTTTATCTTTGAGGCACGGTCATCAGAATTTCCTTTAGGGTCAGTGAGAAAAGCTTTCTTTGCCCTTTTGTCTTTCAGTTCTGTTTCTTTCCTGCGTTGATCTTGGACAGTAACTGTACTATGTAAGGAATTGTCGGTGGCTGGCGACGGTATCTTAGCTGGGTAAAGATGCTATTCTACTGGCTTATGTTTTCCTTTTTTCTGTGGGGAAGACAATGCTTGGCTCCCTATAAATCCTTACCAGCTGATCCTTTTCCTCTGGCTAATTTTAAGGGTTGGTTGTGCTTTTATGCTGCTTTTCTGTAATGTTGAACGTGAGGTGTGTTTACTTCATTCTGCCTGGCATTCACTGGATTTCTTGAACCTGTGGATTGATGGATGTGTCTACTTCCTCCAAATAATCAACAATTGCCTCTTTAAAGATTGCTTCTGACCTGTTTTCTCGTTCTTTCTTTTTGGAACTCAAGTTAGGAGCATTCTAAAACTGTTGTCAATTTTTACCCTGTCACAAAACTGCTCTTTCTTGTTTCAGTTATTTGCTTTTTCTGTGCATTAATATTGATGGTTTCCTCTGTCATAGAGGATAAATACTCTCTTCACTGTTGTGTACACAACATTTTAACTAGTTATTCTGGTTTAAATTTAATATTGACTTTATCTACATATCACAATTGATTACTGTGTACAGACTTTCTTTTCTATTAGTATAAATTTATGAGGTACACTTGTAATTTTGTGACATGAGTATGTTGCAGAGTAGTGAAGTCAGGACTTTTACTATATCCATCACCCAAATACCGTACATTGTACTCATTAAGCAAATTCTCATCACTCACCCACGTCCCGCCACCCTCCAGCCTTCTAGCCTCCGCTGTCCGTCATTCCACACTCTACGTCCATATGTACACATTACTCCCCTCCCATGTAGAGTGAGAAGATGTGGTATTTGTCTTTCTGAGTGGTTTTATGTAAAATAATGGCGTCCAGCTCCATCTATGTTGCTGCAAAAGACATGGTTTTATTTTTATGACCAAATAGTATTTCGTTGTGTATACACGCATCCTTTTTTTAATCCAATCATTCATTCACAGACACTTAGATTGATTTCATATCTTTGCTATTGCAAACAGTGCTGCAATAAACATACAGGTGCAGATATTTTTTGAGTAGATACCCAGCAGCGGGACCCCTAGATCGAATGGTGCTTCTATTTTTGGTTCTCTGCCAAATTTCCATACTGTCTTCCATAGAGGCTATACTAATTTACATACCGGCCAACAGTGTATAAGAGTTTCCTTTTCTCTGCATCCTTGCCAACACCTGTTATATGTTTCACTTTTTCTTTTTTTCTTTTTGAGATGGAGTCTTCCACTGTCACCCAGGCTGGAGTGCAGTGCCGCCATCTCCACGCGCTGCAACCTCCACCAACCAGGTTCAAATGATTCTCCTGCCTCAACCTCCTGAGTAGCTGGGATTACAGAACCACACCACCATGCCCAGCTAATCTTTTGTATATTTAGTAGAGATGGGGTTTCACTATGTTGGTCAGGCTGGTCTCAAACTCCTGACCTCATGATCCACCCGCCTCAGCTTCCCAAAGTGCTGGGATTACAAGCGTGAGCCACCACTCCCCACCAGCATTTTTAGTAATAGCCATTCTGACTACTGTAAGATGATATCTCATTGTGGTTTCAATTTGCATTTCTCTGATGATTAGTGATGTTCATACGCTGTTTGGCCATTCGTATGTCTTCTTTTGAAAAATGTCTATGTATATCCCTTTGCCCACTTTTTAATGCTATTATTTGAGGGGTTATGTTTAGTTGTTTGAGTTGCCTAGAAATTCTGGATGTTAGTCCCCTGTTGGGTGCATAGTTTGCAAACATTTCCATTCATTCTGTGGGTTGTCTGTTCACCCTGCTACTATTTCCTTTGCTTGGCAGAAGCTCTTTCGTTTATTAAGTCCCATTGGTCTAGTTTTATTTTTATTGCCTGTGCTTTTGAGGTCTTAGTGATGAATTCTTTGCCCAGACCAATGCCCAGAAGAGTTTCTCTTTGGGTTTCCACCGGTGATTTTATAGTTCTGGATTTACATTTAAGCTGCTAATTACCTTAAGTTAATTTATGTGTATGATTACAGATACAGGTCCAGTTTTATTCTTCTGCATATGGCTATTTAGTTTTCCCAGCACCTTTTATTGAAAAGGAAATCTTTCTCCAGGGTATGTTTTGTTAACGTCGTCAATGATTATTCACTGTAGATATGAGGCTGTATTTCTGGGCTCTCTATTCTGGTCTATTGATCTCTGTTTCTGTGTCTATACCAGCACTGTGCTATTTAAGTTACTATAGCCTTAGAGCATAGTTTGAAGTCAGATAGCGTGATGCCTCCAGGTTTCTACATTCACCTAGAATTGCTTTCTCTATTAGGATCTTTTTTGGTTCTGTATGAATTTTAGGATTGCTTTTTCTAATTCTGTGAAAACTGGTGTTACTATTTTCATATAAGAATTGCACTGAATCTGTAGATTGCTTTAGGCAGTATGGTCATTTTAACAATATTAATTCTTATGATCCATGAGCGTGGGATTTTTTTTCTTTTTTTTTTTTGTATTATCTATAATTGCTTTCATTGGTGTCTTACACCTTTCCTGGTACAGATCTTTCACCACCTTGGTTAAATGTATTCCTGAGTGTTTTAATTTTGCGTATCTATTGTAAACGGCATTGCCTTCTTGATTTGGTTCTCAGCTAGATCATTATAGGTGTAGAGAAATGCTACCGGCTTTTACATATTGATTTTGTATTCTGAAACTTTACTTAGTTCATTTATCAATCATAAGAATTTTTGGCAGGGTCTTTAGGATTTTCTAGATTTAAGATCATAGCATCAGAAATAAAAATAATTTTACTTCCTCTTTTCTAATTTGGATTTTTACTTCTTCCTGTTGCCCAATAGCTCTGACAAGGCTTCCAGTACTATGTTGATAGGAAGTGGTGGATGTCCGTGTCCTTGTCTTGTGCCAGTTCTCAGAGGAGTGCTTTTAACTTTTCCTGTTCAGTATGATGTTGACTCTAGATATGTCATCTATGGCTTTTATTATTTTGAGGTATGTTCTTTCTATGCCTAAGTTTTTGAGGGTTTTCATCAGGTAAGGATGTTGAATTTCTTTTCAGATGCTTTTCTTTATGTCTATTGAGATGATCATATGGTTTTTGTTCTGGATTCTGCTCGTTCTTCTAAGTGGATGAGACATGCCAGAAAAGCATTTAGTCAGCCATCTTGGAAACAAGCATCTCAGATGTTTTCTTTCTCTATAGCTCATTCTTTCTTACCAGTGTTTTCAATTTTGTACTTAATTTTGTAAAGAGAGTAAATGATATAATTTCCACATATGTTTCCTCTGCCAAATCAGACTCACTATGCTTCCTTTCCTTGTATGCATAACCTACCCAGCAATACACACAAACATTTATTGCTTTGGAGAATTAGTTTGGGAACATTTTTGAAATGTACAAAAAAATGTATATCTTCAAAAGAAATTTCTTTTTGTGGCAAAAGACTTCTGAAGGTGCTCATGATGATATAGGGAGAAGAGGGGTTCTGGACAGGAAGAATTTTATGAAGGTGAGATGGGGAAATAGCTCCATTTCAGAGCTTCTGGGGAGAGAGGGGCCTGGCCCACATGGAAAGGTCTCTGATCTTACCCCCACCCTCCAGCCCCTGTTCTCCAGAACTATACTGTGGAGAGTTCCATCAGGATTGTTGTGGCTGGTCTGGTCTTCCTGGCTCTTTTGGCAATGCTGGCTAAGACCTGGTGGAGACATGAGGGGCCACAGGTGGAAATGGAAGAAACATGACTGAAGCTGGCTGGAGTGAATGGCGCGACATTCTGTCTGTGGGAGATTGGCCAGATGGGTTTCAAGTGTGTTGTATCAGCTGTGACTTTTAGTAATGTTCTTGCTACCACAATATCCACTCGTCCATCCCGAATAATTGTGATGAAATATTGTCCTTGGGATAATATTCATTTGCTAAAGACAGGGATGATACCTCAAGGTGCCACTATATACATCGAGGGGATCCACAAAAGTCCATTCAGTAAAATGTAGTTGGCATCTTAGGGTAGGTTGATTCCACCTCTAAAAAAGTAGGTACAACATCAGGTTGATTTTTCCGAAGAAAAGTGGTGATTGGCCATCTTTAGTCTCAATGTAAACGGTAATACTGATGAGTGTGGAAAAGGCAGGGAAGAGGATTGACAATAAGTGACACTCATTGTTTTCATCTGAGCTTTGAGACTGAAAGAGGAACACAGGAGTGAGATGTATGGGAACAAACCCCTTCTTTTTCCAGCTAAACAGAGTGGAAGTTGGACACTGAGTTTTGGCGTACAGCAAAATCCTAAGTCCATTGTTGGGTTGAACACGGCCATGTTGTACATCCTGGTTTCACAGCAGACACTGGAGGAAAACAGCCTGTATTCATAAGAGGCTGTCCCTCGGGTCACTGCCCAGAATATCCGGAGTTGGTGCTCACAGGGTTGGGAACTCTCCTGGACCAGACAGGCTCTGGATATGGGGGGGTACCAAGCTCCCCGGGGCCATGCCTCCACAGCTCTCTTCTCACCTCATTCTTGACCATTTCCCAAACCTCTGACCTCACCTTCATTCATCCATGGTGAACACGCTAAAGCTGGCCTTCAAAGCTTGAGACAGAGGAAAATTGGGCTTCATCTCTGGGAACTAAATTGGGGAGTGGAGACTCAGTTCTGGCCTGACAGGAGGGAGAAGACCCTGGATCCCAGTGTGGATGGGAAGAAGTATGTGTTTCTCTTTTGTGCTTGGACCCTGTGTCCAAGCATGTCTGAGATGTGATGAAGATGAATCTTCCTTTCCTTGTCTATTTTCTCATGCCAGAGAATTGGAATCTTATATTCCATTAACTCTTTCTGTTCTGTTCATCCAGATTCTATGAAGGAGAAAGGAAAAGATGTGATACTGTAATTTTGCTCCATTTGTCTAAAATGAGTAGGCTGCAACTCCTCTTGAAGTGATACCTTTTCTAGCTCTTGTTGGAGGTGTCTCAGGACTCATTACTTCGGGGAACCTGCAACTGTGTCAGTCTGGGGAAACTGCAAATATTCTTGTCTTACATTTGTCTCCAGCCAATTGTGATGGACTCCAGTGACCTGCAATTGCTGTTATTGCAGGTAAAATGTACCTGAGTCAGGCCACAGTTCTCCTGGACTATGAGCCCCTGGCCATGTTCCTGAGGCAATTCTGTTCATCTAAATATAATAATAATAACACACTAAAAATGGCAAGCCATTGTTAATTCCTGAAGTCTCATTTGAAAATTACTAAATGTCTGTTATTTTTTGGTGTTTACATTATATGTAGACAGATAAACTACACACACACACACACACACACATGCACACAGAAGAATGGATTGGTTCATGTAGAAAAGTAAATAATTCAAGATGAAAGGATGAAATGTCATGGCACCTACTATTCTATTTTAGATAAAGGGTCTATGAAAAGATTGATTTCTTTTTATGTTTTATTTGTTGACATTTGAACACAAACTATGTAAGTGAGGGAGTCGATTTGAAAGGGAGAAGAGCAAGTTCAAACACATTCAGGTGAGGTCATGCTTTACATGTTTTAATTGAAATGATCCATCTTGGGAGTAGATCAATAACTGAGATGGTGCCAGGAATGTTAAAAAGCTTTTGTCAGTCCTAAATATTGACAAATAAAATTTAATTAAAGTCTTAGAAGAAAACACAAAGGAAAACTTCACAACATCGGATTTGGCAGTGATTCTTTAGATGTGACAACAACGGCACAGGCTACTACAGAAAAAATAAACAAGTTAGACTTTATGAAAATTTTGAAATATTGTGACTCAAAAGACAACATCAGTTACTTCACATGGCAAGGAAAAAGAACTTTTAAGACGATATTATCAAAGTAAAAAGACAACCCACAGAATGGGAGAAAATGTTTTCAAACCACACCACCTGTAAGGGATTAACATCCAGAATATACAGACAACTCCTAAAACTCAATCACAATAAACTCAATTCAAAAATGGGCAAAGTACTGAAACAGACATTTCTCCAAAGAACATACGCATGAAAAGATATTCAGCATCACGAATCATTAGGGAAATACTAACTAAAACTACACCAGATGCCATTTCATACCCCTTAGGATGGGTATCATCAAAACAACAACAACAACAACAACAAAGTTTCTATACATTAACAACAAACTATCCAAAAAAGTTTACAAGAAAATAAGCCCATTTGCAATAACTACAGAAAACAAAACATGCAGGAATAAATTCACCCAAGGAGTAGAAAGATCTGTATGCAAAAGCTATAAAACATTGATGAAAAAACTCAAGAAATAAACAAATAAATCGAAAGATATTCCATGTTCACGGATCAGAAGGATTAATGTTGTTAAAATGTCCATTCTATCCAAAGTGATTCAATGCAACCATTATCAAAAATCCAATGACATTTTTTTTACAGAAATAGAAAAAACAGTCCTAAAATTCATGTGGAACCACAAAAGATCTCAAATAACCAAAGCCATCTAGAGGGAAAGGAACAAAGTTGGAAGCATCACATTACCTAAACACAAACTACATTACAAAATTACAGTAATTAAAACAACACAGTACTTGCATAAAAACAGACACATAGACCAATGGAAGTGATTCATAGCCCAGGAAAAAAATGCATGCATTTAGGGTCAAACAATTTTTGGGATGTGTCAAGAACACACAATGGAGAAGGAACAGTCTCTTTAATAAATGGGATTGGGAGACTGCATGTCCACATGCAGAAGAATGGAAGTGGACATTTGCCTCACAAAACATACAAAGTCAACTCAAGATAGATTAATGACTTAAATGTAAGATGAAAGACTATAATCCCAGCAATTTGGGAGGCCAAGGTGGGCAGATCACCTAAGGTCAGGATTCCAAGACCAGCATGGCCAACATGGTGAAATCCCGCCTCTACTAAAAATACAAAAACAGCTGGGTGTGGTTGTGGGTGCCTGTAATCTCAGCTACTCGGGAGGTTGAGACAGGAGAATCACTTGAACCCAGGAGGTAGAGGTTGCAGTGAGCCGAGATCGCACCACTGCACTCCAGCCGGGGCAACACAGTGAGACTCCATCTTAAAAAAAAAAAAAAAACTACTAAAAGAAATCAAGGGAAAACTCCACTGGCTTGGGCAAAACCATTTTGGATATTAACCCAAAGGCCCAGGCAACAAAAGCAAAAGTAGACAAATAACATTATATCAAATTGAAAGTTTCTGCAAAGAAAAAAAAAACTCAACAAGTGGAAAGACAACCTATGGAATGGGAGAATATATTTGCACCCATACATCTAATAAGGAATTAATATCCAAAATATATAAGAAACTCAAACAACTCAATGGTAAGAAATCAAATAACCCAACTTAAAAAAATGGGCAAAGTATCTGAATAAACATTTCTAAGAATAAGACAAATCACCAAAAGGTATATGAAAAAATGATTAGCATTACTAAACATCAGCTAAATAAAAATTAAAACTAGAATGAGATATCACCTCACACCTCTTAGAATGACCATTAACAGTCTGGGCATGGTGGCTCATGCCTGTAATTCAGGCACTTTGGGAGGCCGAGGCAGGGAGATTACCTGAGGTCAGCAGTTCGAAACCAGCCTGGCCAATATGGTGAAACCCCATCCCTACTAAAAATACAAAAATTAGCAGAGTTTGGTGGCGCACACTTGTAGTCCCAGCTACTCTGGAGACTGAGGCAGGGGAATCGCTTGAACCCAGGAGGCAGAGGTTGCAGTACACCGAGATTGTGCCACTGCACTCCAGCCTGGGTGACAGAGCAAGACTGAGTCTCAAAAAAAAAAAAAAAAAAAGACCATTATCAAAAACATAAAAAATAACAAGGGTTAACGAGGATGTGGAGAAAAGGGAACATTTGTATGCAGTTGATGGGAATGTAAATTAGCACAACCATTATGGAAAACAGTCTGGAAGTTCCTGAAAAAATTAAACATAGAATTCCCATATGTGTCTGCAATCCAACTACTGCGCATGTATCCAAAGGAAGTGGAATCAGTATGTTGAAGAGATATCTGCATTCCCATGTTTACAGCCGCATTATTCATAACAGCCAAGATGTGGAATCACCCTTACTGCCCATCTATGGGTGCATGGACAAAGAAAACGTGGTATACGATAGGAACGTAATGAAGTACTATACAACCTTTACAACAAAGAAGGAAGTCCTCTCATTTGTGACAATGTGAAAAAACTTAGAGGACATTATGTTAAGGGAAACAATCCAGGCACAGAAAGACAAATGCCACATGATCTCATGTGTGGAGTGTAAGAAGTGGAACCTAGAGGAACAGTAAAATGGTCGTCGAAAGAACCTGGGATGGAGAGAGATTGAAGAGATGTTGGTCAAAGGATGCAAAATTTCAGTTAGAAGAAATCGGTTCAAGAGATCTATTGTATGTCTTGGTGACTCCAGTTAATAGCAACATATGGTGTATTGAACATTACTAAGAGATTAGATTTTACATGTTCTCACCACACACACAAAACATACAAGTATGTGAAAAAATAAATATGATAAAGAGGTTGTTTCATCCATTCCACAATGTGTACCTATATGAAAACATCATGATGGACACCACAAATACCCTTTTCCTCATTAATTAAATTTGTTTTGGTTTTTTTTTTGAGATGCAGTTTCACTGTTGTTGCCCAAGCTGAGGTGCAATGGCGTGATCTCCGCTCACTGCAACCTCTGCCTCCCAGGTTCAAGCGGTTCTCCTGACTCAGCCTCCCAAGCAGCTGGGACTACAGTTGCGTACCACCCCGTCCGGCTATATTTGTGTTTCTAGTAGAGACAGGGTTTCGCCATGTTGGCCAGGCTGGTCTCGAACTCCAGACCTCAGGTGATCCACCCGCTTCGCCCTCCCAAAGTGCTAGATTTCAGGCTGAGACACCACACCCAGCCTGTACATTGACTTTCTGCCCTTAAACTGTGCTGAAGTTTGTTTCTCAGATGTAGGAGCCTTTGGGCAGAGACTATGGGGTTTCTAGGTATAGAAATTATCTCATCTTCAAACAGAGGTAATTTGACTACCTCTCTCTGCTACTCTCTTCTTACTTGGATGCCTTATAATTCTTTCTCTTTCCTGATGGCTCTGTCTAGGACTTCAAGTACTATGTTGAATAGGATGGTGAGAGTGGGCATTCTTGTCTTGTTTCACTTATGAAGGGAACTTCTTCCAGCTTTTACTCATTCAGTATGATGTTGGTTGTGGGTTTGTCACAGGCGGCTCTTATTATATTGAGTTATGTTTCTTCAATGCTTAGCTTGTTGAGGGCTTTTAACATGAAGAAATGCTTAGTAAAAAGTATGTTCTACATGTGTGTTGAGAAGATCATGTGGTTTTTGTTTTTAGTTTTGTTTAGGTGATGAATCACATGTATTGATTGTGTATGTTCAACCAACCTTGCACCCTAAGAATAAAGTTGACTTGATCATGGTGGATTCACTTTTTGATATGCTGCGGGATTCAGTTCTTAGTATTTTTTGTGGATTTTTGCCTCTATGTTCATCAGGAATATTGGCATGTAGTTTTCTTTTGTTTAATGTTCTTTTCTGTCTTTAGTATCAGGGTGATGCCAGCCTTATAGAATGAGTAAAGGCCACCCTGGGCAAACAGTGAGACCCATCCCTTTTTAAAAATTATGAGTTTTACAAATTTAAAATGCATAGTGAAAAAGTTCTTACAAACTCCAGAAAGGTAGGTGTAAATAAGAGACATTTGTAAGAATGACAGCACATTAAATGTGTAGATTTCAACCTTCAGTTATTGCAATATTCCAGTATCAAGTTGGAGGATGTTATCAGTCTGATATTTTTTCCTCAAATGAGAGAGAGAAAGAAAGACACACAAACAACACAGGGAGAAAAAAAGCACACGTTACAGAGAGACAAAAAGGGAGACAGGGAACTGTGAATTTGGACTCTTGTGTCATAAGACAAATTCTAGATAACACGACCAGACCTTCAATTGACATATTGTGTTTTTGCTAATAAGGTGGAATTCTATGATGCGAAATAACTATATAGTCTTTTCTACTGGGATTTAAATCATTTTATCTGTTTCTGGCTTAACAGGAAAAATACAACCATGGAAAATTATGATGATTTATTTAATACGATTGCTCTATAGTGTTAATAAAACCTATTAGGTATTTTGCATATTACATATCAAGGAGAGTTTGAATCTCAGGTAGAAACAAAAAAAAATACATCAAAAGTTCCTCATGTGAGTGCAGAATTCAATCGTCCCGTGCAGGGGTAAGTGAGTCTGAGATGTGTTTTGAGCCTGGCCGTTGCGCATGATGTGAAGTGACAAGTCTAGTCTGCAGTTTTCAGAAACCCTCATTCCTCCCTTGACTGATTCACCACTTGAACCTCATATGACGTAGAAGAAGCCTACCTATGTCCCCTTCACATGTTGTGGTCAATGTGTCAACTGCACGATCCGGGCCCCTCACCACATCCTCTGCACCGGTCAGTCGAGCCGAGTCACTGCGTCCTGGCAGCAGAAGCTGCACCATGTCCATGTCACCCACGGTCATCATCCTGGCATGTCTTGGTGAGTCCTGGAAGGGAAGGAGCACCAGGGTTACACTATGGGCCTGCAGATTGGGTGTCTCCCCAGCAGAGAGCCATGTTCTGAAGCAAGTGAGTGGTGAGGATGAGTTAATTTTCAGTCCAGCGTGGCGCCCAGTGGCTCAGGAGGAAAGGGTAGGTTGCTGCCGAGATGAATAGTTCCTCATGATCTTTCTTTGCAGGGTTCTTCTTGGACCAGAGTGTGTGGGCACACGTGGGTGAGTCCTTCCCCAAATGATGGGTTGCCATCTTCACCCCAATACAAGTGAATTTTCCGGAAATGGGAGGGAGGCAGCACAGAGGGTGGGCTGATGGGCTGACCATGGGAAGGCCTGGGGGGAGTCTCTCATGAACTAGTAAGAGGAGATCCTGGGAGTCTCTCATGAACTAGTAAGAGGAGATCCTGGGAGTCTCTCATGAACTAGTAAGAGGAGATCCTGGTATGCTCAGCCTTCTGTTTTGTCTTAGCCCTCCCCAGCCTTTCTTCCCCATGGCTGAGTTGAGCTCTGTGTGGCCCAGGCGGGATACTGAGGTGCTCAAAGCTGGGGTGTGTGGGGGGATGTGGTGTCACCGACAGAGGAGGGAAGGGTAGCAGTGTTAGGAACAGCAGGTCCTCTGAGGACAAGAGGGTAACTCACACCCTCCAGCGTTTCCA
This sequence comes from Homo sapiens, assembly GCF_000001405.40. Classification (NCBI taxonomy): domain Eukaryota; kingdom Metazoa; phylum Chordata; class Mammalia; order Primates; family Hominidae; genus Homo; species Homo sapiens. The sequence continues at coordinate 105,962 of NW_016107303.1, forward strand.
TGACGGTAGGGGCTGCAGTGTGGCTGCTGTCATTCTGCCAGAAGAGGTGGGGGAACCACAGCCACGACCCTGCCATTCCAAATCCTCTGATGGAGCTCAGTTGTTTATTGTGGTTCAGGCATTAGCTAATATTCCATTCACAAAGGTCATACCCTCCACCCCATGTCTACTTTGTGTTGTTTGGTGTAACTAATCTTGCAGTATTAAAATCTAGTAAGAGTCCCTTACTCAGCACCTGCTCAGTTCTCAACTGACACTTTTGTTGTAGGGAGACGCCACGTCTATGCGGGATGGGTCCTTCCTGTAGCCCCAGGCACCCAGGTGTGGTAGGAGCCTTAGAAAGAAGAAATGGGGAGAATCTTCTGAGCACAGGGAGGGAGGGGCAGCTCAACATACTCCTCTCTGAGGCGGCATCTCCTTCTCCCCAAGGTGGTCAGGACAAGCCCTTCTGCTCTGCCTGGCCCAGCGCTGTGGTGCCTCAAGGAGGACACGTGACTCTTCGGTGTCACTGTCGTCGTGGGTTTAACATCTTCACGCTGTACAAGAAAGATGGGGTCCCTGTCCCTGAGCTCTACAACAGAATATTCTGGAACAGTTTCCTCATTAGCCCTGTGACCCCAGCACACGCAGGGACCTACAGATGTCGAGGTTTTCACCCGCACTCCCCCACTGAGTGGTCGGCACCCAGCAACCCCCTGGTGATCATGGTCACAGGTCAGAGGGCTCCTGTCTGGGCTTCTCCTTGTCCCACCTCCTGAGTCCCAGAGCTTCTGGTGGGGGTGTCCACCAGAGTCCGATCATCCAGGCCCCAACTATATTTGGGGTAAAGGGGGATTGAATACAGGGGAATGGGTGCTGTGTTGGAAAGAATAACTGTCCCCATCGATGGCCACATTGTAATCCTTGGAGCCTGTGACTATGTTATAGGGCAGGGGACTGAAGGGGAAGATGGAGCTCAGGTTGTTGATGAGTTGACCTTGAGATGGGGAGATGGCCTGGACCCTCCCACTGGGCTCAGTGTAATCACAAGGGTCCATATGAGTGGAGAAGGAAGAGGAGAATGGGGATTAGAGCAGCATCGTGGGATACTCCACCAGCCACTGTGGGCTTTGAAGGTGGAGGAAGACCACGAGCCACGAAGGGGCTGGAGAAATCAATGGAACTGATTCTCCCGAGTCTCCAGAGGGAATGCAGCCCTGCAGATGCCTTGATTGTAGCCCAGGAAGAACAGGGTCTGATTTCTGTCTCCAGAAGTGGAAGGGGTCAGTGTGTTCTCTCCTGCCGCCATGTTTGTGATAATTTTCTCCAGCAACATCAGGAAACCAACACAGGAACCCAGGTGAAGGACAAGTTAAAAAACCAAACAAGAAGGTTGGCTACCCTGAGATCAGCAAGGGTGCACTGCTGATGCCACCACCAGGCTGGAACCACATAGGGAGGGATCGACAGGAAGAGTTGGGGGTGGAGGGTGAGAGAGAGAGAGAGAGAGAGAGCACTAGGCCATAGAGCAGGGCAGTGAGTTCTCAGCTCAGGTGGGAGGGGAGCTGTGACAAGGAAGAACCTCCCTGAGGAAACTGCCTCTTCTCCTTCCAGGTCTATATGAGAAACCTTCGCTTACAGCCCGGCCGGGCCCCACGGTTCGCGCAGGAGAGAACGTGACCTTGTCCTGCAGCTCCCAGAGCTCCTTTGACATCTACCATCTATCCAGGGAGGGGGAAGCCCATGAACTTAGGCTCCCTGCAGTGCCCAGCATCAATGGAACATTCCAGGCCGACTTCCCTCTGGGTCCTGCCACCCACGGAGAGACCTACAGATGCTTCGGCTCTTTCCATGGATCTCCCTACGAGTGGTCAGACCCGAGTGACCCACTGCCTGTTTCTGTCACAGGTGAGGAAAGCCAATGTCTGTCCCATGTCCTATGGTCCTAGAGCCTTAGCTGAGGAGCTTCCTGCTGATGATGGAGAGAAGCATGGACAGATGTGGAGAGAAGATGCAGCATGGTGTGAGGGTGGGATCAGGGCACAGGATGGCAGACAGGGCACCTCCAAACCCTCCTGCATGGCCTGCATGGAAGCTTGCAGTAAGGGCTCCGGGTACCCAGGCAGATGGAGAAAGTGGTCAGGACAGACCCAGAGGAGGGAGACTGGGCTCAGTTTGGGGAGATCAGAGGTTCCCTCAGCCCCTCAACCTTACCCATTTCCCAGAAGCCCACCCTGGCCTCTCACCTACACAGAGATGTCATCACCAGCAACCCCTACACTTTTTCTTTTCCTTTGAAAAAATGCTGATTGAGGTTAAATATACCTATATAATTTATCAACTTTACCATTTTTAAGTGTAAAATCTAGGGATCATAAATACCTTTATATGCTGTGTGCGGTGGCTCACGCCTGTAATCTCAGCATTTTGAGACGCCAAGGCAGGTGGATCATTTAAAATCAGGGGCTGGAGACCAGCCCGGCCAACATGGGGGAACCAATCTTTACTAAAAAGACAAAAAAAATAAAATTAGCCAGGCATGGTGCCAGGCGCCTATAATCCCAGCAACTTGGGAGGCTGAGGCGGGAGAGTGGCTTAAACCCAGGAGGAGGAGGTTGCAGTGAGCTGAGATCATGCCACTGCACTGCAGCCTGGTGACACAGAGAGACTCTGTCTCTAAATAAATAAATAAATACTTTTATATTCTTCTTTTGTTACCCTCCACCCCTTCCTTCCTAACCTCTGGTATCCACCATTCTACTCTCTACCTTCATGAGGTCCACCTTTTACATCCTGCATGTGAGTAAGAAATGGCAATCCTTGTAATGACCTCCAGTCCATCCATGTGGCTGCAAATGACAGGACGTTTCTCTTTGTATGGATGAGTTGTCTCCATTGTGTGTATGTACTACATTCTCTCTATCCATTCATCCACTGATGGGCAGGTAGGTTGACTCCACATCTTGGCTACTGTGAACAGTGCTGGAACAGTCATGGGAGTGCAGATGTCACTTCAATACACTGAAGTCCTTTTCTTTGCATTTACACCCACTAGTGGAATTGCTAGATCCTCTGGATGTTCTCTTTTTAGGTTTTGTTTTATGCTTTTTGTTTTTTTGACATAGCGTTTCACTCTTGTTGCCCAAGCTGGAGTGCAATGGCACCACCTGGGCTCACTGCAACCTCTACCTCCAGGATTCAAGTGATTCTCCAGCCTCAGCCTCCCGAGTAGTTGGGATTACTGGTGCCCGCCACCACGCCTGGCTGATTTTTGTATTTTTAGTAGAGACGGGGTTTCACCATGTTAGCCAGGCTGGTCTCGAACTCTTGACCTCCAGTGATCTGCCCACTTCAGCCTCCCAAGGTGCTGGGATTACAAGCGTGAGCCACAGTGCCTAATCTCTTTTTAGTTTTTAAGGAACTTCCATATTCTTCTCCTCTGTAATGGCTGTATTAATTTACATTCCTATCAACAGTGTATCAGGGTTCTCCTTTCTCCACCACCTTGCCAACATTTGTTTTGTCTGTCTCTGAGATAAAACCCATTGTAATGGGGTGAGATGATAGCTCATTGTGACTTCATTTGCATTTCTCTGATGATTAGTGATACTGAGCACTTTTTCATATATGCAATGTATATATGTTCATTTGTATGTTTTGTTCATTGAGAAATGTCTGTTCAGGTCTTTTACTAATTTTATAATTAAATTATTAGTTTTATTGAGGTGTTTGAGCTTCTTTTATATTCTAGTTATTAATCCCATCTCAGATGCATAGTTTGCAAATATTTGCTCCCATTCTGTGGGTTGTCTCTTCTTCACTTCATTGGTTGCTTCCTTTGCGGTGCAGAAGCTGCTTGATTTGATATAATCCCAATGGTCTATTTTTTTGTTGTTGTTGTGATTACTTGTGTTTTTGAGGTTTTAAACAAAATGTCTTCCCTCAGACAAATGTCCTGGAGCATTTCTCCAGTGTTTCCTTTTAGACATTTAATGGATTCAGGTCTTAAGTCATTAATCCATTTTCATCTGATTTTTGTGTATGGTGAGAGGTAGAGGTGCAGTTTCATCCCTCTGCATGTAGATATCCAGTTTTCCCTGCACCATTTATTGAAATGACTGTCCTTTCCAGATTGTAGATTCTTCGAACCTTTGTCAAAGTCCATTGGATGTAAATGGGTGGATTACATCCGTGTTCTTCATTCTGCTCCATTGTTTTATGTGCTTTTCTTTATGCCAATGTCATGTTGTTTTGCTTACTACAGCTCTGTAACATATTTTTAAGTCAGGTAGTGTGATGCTCCTGTTTTCTCCTTATACCTTGAAGTCTCAAGATAGTTGGTGTCACCTACAATGATTATGGAGAATGGGATGCCAGGACTCCCAGGGCCCAACATTAGATAATAGAATGTTGGCCATGAACCAACCTCAAAGATTTCCATTGAGTAGAAGACAGGCATCCTCATTGCCACACCTCTCTCCTGTCCCATGTTCTAGGAAACCCTTCTAGTAGTTGGCCTTCACCCACTGAACCAAGCTTCAAAACTGGTAAGTGAAGGACCCCTCTTATCTCTGCTTTTGGAAACCTGGGGAGGTAGAAGCCTTGGATTCAAGCGTTGGCTCAGCACCTGCCAGCTCTGTGATTGTGGGCCTGTCTTCCATTGTCTCTGAACCCCAGACACTCCAACAGCGAAAGGGATCTGGGCCCAGCACAGGGCTCAGTGAAATCTCTTAATCTCTAATTTTCTGCTGCTGAGACCTCAGGGTAGAAGGATGAGTGCAAATCAGACATTCTTCTCAGGAAAAATGCTGTGTTTGTTCTGCCTGCATTCCTAACTGGGAGGACAAATGCCTGGGGGCTTGAGAAGGGGAAGGACGGGGAACATTTTTGAGGGTGGTGTATTTGTAGAGAAGTTCTACTTGCCAAGGAATGAGCTCCTGTCTGTCATGATCCAACCCTGGTTGACTTAGTGGAACAAGAGCTTTGCGGTAAGAGAGAACGTAGTTCATCCGTGCACATGACACTTCCACTTACTCGTTCAGCCACTGCCCCATGCTCAGACTGTGCAGTGTGGAACCTTTTCCTATGTTGCCATAACAAATTTCCACAAGCTTCGTGGATGGAAACCACATTTTAAAAAAATATCTCATGGTGCTGTAGCTCAGAAGTATGAAATGCATCATCTCACTGGGCTAAAATCAAGGTGACAGCAAGGCTGCCTTCCCTCTGAATGTTCCAGGCAAGAATCTGCTTCCTCACTTTTCCCAGCTCCTAGAGGCTCCCACATTCCTTGGCTCCTGGTCCCCGTCTTCCTCCCTCAAAGTCCACAAAGGCTGGTCACGCCTCTCACACGGCATCACTCAGACCCTTCTTCCTTGTCCACACCTCTTTCTCTGAATGCTGCTCTGCCTTCTTCCTCATCTTTTAAGGACTTTGGCATTCTATTGGAAACACCAAGATAATCCATCATAATTTCCCTAAAATCATCTAGGATACCCTCCTTTTAAGGTTAGCTGATTAGCAACCGTAATTCCATCTGCAATCTGCATTCCTTTTTTCCATGTAAAATAACATATTCACAAGATATGGCGACTAGGACAGGAACATTTTGGGGTGGGGCGGCATTCTTATCCTTTCCACAAATGGTAAACAAGGTGCATTTGGCCTCTGCTCTTGGACACTGATATTGCAAAGGATTAAATGGGAGGGCAGAAAATGAATGCACCAGTGGACCAATAAATGAATGATCCATTGGGAAGCATCTGTGCATGAGAATGATTGATTGATTGGTTGTTTTTATGAGACGGTGTCTCCCTCTGTGCCCCAGGCTGGAGTGCAGTGGCGGGATCTCGGCTCACCGCAACCTCCACCTCCCAGGTTAAAGCGATTCTCTACACTCAGCTTCCCGAGAGGCTGGGATTACACCCATGTCCCACCACGCCTGGCTAATTTTTTTTTGGTATTTTTTTTTTAGTACAGACAAGGTTTTACCATGTTGCCCAGGCTATCTCAAACTCCCAACCTTAAGGGATCCGCCCGTCTCAGCCTCCCAAAGTGCTGAGATTCGAGGCGTGAGCCAAGGCGCCGAGCCGTATTTTAAAAGAAATAATAGATAATGCTGAGTGTATAATTTCGGGTGACAGAGAAGTTCTCACTGATCAAATAATACTTGTGACCTTAATGAAAAAAATAGATCAACCCCTGGAAGATTGGCGGAAGGATTTTCCACACAGCTGTCAGCCGTGAAGGCACAAAGGTGAAAACAATGTTATGTGGAAGGAAGAGGCTCTGCCTGAAATGCTGGGAATGAGATGGGGAGAATGACAAGACGACTGTGGAGAGACAGAGAGCACTCTGGGTACACAGGAAACTAAGGAGGAACAAGGAGCGTGTGTTTGACACTCACAGCCATTGGACTTACCTCGGGGCTAACTGGGAATCCCTACATGATGAATAGTGACTGACATGAAAATAAGGGAGGCCCAGGTGCATAACTGGAATCTAGGAGACTGTGGAAAAGGCAATTCCCGCCCCCCTGGTGAAATGTGGTGCTGATTTAGACACTAAATGAATGAAAGATGGACACAAGATGTGTTTGTGAGGTAGAGTAATTTGCAGGGAGGGCTTGCCTGCTTTGATTTTTCCTAATTGTTTAATCTTCACTTCATTGATTTCTTTCTGAGATTTATTTTTCCTACATGTAAATCAATACTTGGCAGAGGAGTGAGAGATACATGAGGGGTGGTGCAAAGGAAGAGACCTATTATAATATAACACACAAGGTTCTGAACGGTGGCTCACACCTGTAACCCAACATTTTGGGAGGCTGAGGAGGCTGGATCAAGTGAGATCAGGAGTTCGAGATCAGCCTGGACAACATGGTGAAACCCCATCTCTACTAAATATACAAAAACTAGCTGGGGGTGGTGGCGCATGCCTGTAATACCAGCTATTCGGGAAGTTGAAGAAGGAGAATGGCTTCAACCAGGGAGGGAGAGGTTACAGTGAGCCAAGATCGCGTCATTGCACTGCACCCTAGGTGACAGAGTGAGACTCCATGGCAAAAAATAAAAATAAAGAATACATAAATATAATATAACATACACGAATGACAAAGGCACACCAATTCCAATCATCATTTTTCTATTTCTCTATAATGACTTCTTTGATCCTTTATCCTATCCATAAGAAAATCAGGCGAAAACATCTTCCTTATTTGGCTTTCTGTGAGCATGAGATCATATGGAAAATGTGAAACCCACCAGCGCAGGTCCTGGAATAGAGAACGTGATCTGTTCATGGCACAAAACTTGCCCCTTCACCCAAATCCCCCACCTCACCCCTACTTCCAATCACATTAATGATACAGATAGATCATGGGGAGGTAAAAACTAATATTCTTTGGAGTTCAGATCGTAGACTCAGAGACCAGTGCCAGCACTATCTCCTGGTCACCTTTTGGAGTAATTCACAGAAAGACAGGCTGTATTGAAGCAACAGATGATGGAGGGGGTGGTCTTTCCCCCAGACTCTCGGGTGGAACAGCAGCCTAATATCTGACTCCCAAGATGACAAAAGTAGCATGTTGCCCACGAGCTTCATCATTATTTCCTGGCTGTTTGATATAAGACAGCTCAACCTCACTTATGTTGATTTCAATGTCACTGTTTTTTCCTTTTCTTGGAGAATGTAATTTGTTTGAGTCAAGAGGGTTGTGGATGTAGAAACTGTAAAGCACATTCACTGTGTATCAATCCCAGTCCAGTCTTCCCAGAGAAGACTCTAAACACCTCCCATACTGCACCTGGGGCTGTGCCAATTTCTATCACTCACCATCACTCCAGGGAGACAGAACACACAGGGAATACATTACATAGGCAGGTTCATTACTTATAGATAAGCAGCGAGTGACAACAGAAACCTTCCTTTCAGGGTGAGCCAGTCCCTCAAGGCTCAGAAAAACTGCTCAGGACACATGGAGTCACTTCATGTGCACTGTAGCTGGGGGAAGCCAGAAAGCAGCCCAGCCTGGGTTTTGTACCCTGGAGCCACAGGGAACACTCAGCTAAAGCACTGCATGATGTTCTCCTCCAGGAAGAACAGGAAGACAGCCCAGGCTGTTCTGAGACGTTCCTCCTGATCTCAGGATGTTGCTGTCTTAGCCTATTTTTGTTGCTATAAAAGAACACTTGAGCCTGGGTATCTTCTAAAGAAAAGAGATGTGTTTGGCTCACTGATCTGCACGCTGTACTAGAAGCAGGACACTACCATCTATTTCTGGCTGCGGCCTCAGGCTGCTCCCACACTGACAGAAGAGAAGGGGGTCCTGCGTGTGCAGAGACCACAGAGATCACATGGCAAGAGAGGGAGAAAGGGGGTGTGATGGAGCTTCCAAGCTCTTTTTAAGAATCAACTCTCCAGGGTACTAATAGAGGGAGAACTTGCTAACCCCGTCCTCTGGGGACAGCATTAATCTATTCATGATGGATCCACCCCCATGACCAAAACACCCCTCCCAATAGGCACAACCTCCCACACTGGGGATTAAATTTCAAAGTGGGGTTTGGAGGGGTCAAACATTGAAACAATAGCAGTTGTATCATCAGCACATTCTATTGTTATTATGAAAACTATAACGGAGAAAGCAGGAGAAAGCTGGGTCTCCCGCCTCGTGGGTGCTTGTCCTAAAGAGGTGTTTTATGTGGTTGCCTGGCAACCAAGAAATGAGAGACAATCCACAAAGAGGAACTGCTATGGTTAGCTTCTTATTGGATTCTCATCTTCCTCCAGGTATCGCCAGACACCTGCATGCTGTGATTAGGTACTCAGTGGCCATCATCCTCTTCACCATCCTTCCCTTCTTTCTCCTTCATCGCTGGTGCTCCAAAAAAAAAAGTAAGCCTCACGAAGCAGAGGCCAGAGAACTCAGGGCCCTGTGCGGAAGCAGGATGGGAGCACGCAGGTGTGTGTTCCTCACTGGCAGGAAAGTCTCTGGCCCAAGGCAGGAGCCAGAGGCAGAGCTTTCTAGAGAGAGCACCAGACAACCTGCCCCTGCCTTCAGCTCACAGACCATTGCCTGATTGTGAACTGTATCCTCACGTCCCCTGCAGCCACTCACATCCAGGAGAAGATTCCATGACAGGCAGAAAGTGGGAGATAGAATCAATGGGATGGGAACTGACAGCTATTCATGGAATGGGGTCTTGCACTCAGAGAGATGGAATGTCTGAGTCTGGCTGTTGGCAGCTGAGGGACCTCAGGCACCTATGGCCTCCCCCTGTGTGTTGGTATCTGTTCATGAAATGAGGACCCAGAAGTGCCCTCCCAGCTGTTTCGATTGCTTCCGTCTCCTACAGATGCTGCTGTAATGAACCAAGAGCCTGCGGGACACAGAACAGTGAACAGGGAGGTAGGTCCTCCTAGCCCAGCCTCATGGATACAGTCTTATTCCCTAATAGTCCTGAAAAATGTGAACACCCTCCCTCACTCAGGATTTCCCTCTCTCCAGGACTCTGATGAACAAGACCCTCAGGAGGTGACATACGCACAGTTGGATCACTGCATTTTCACACAGAGAAAAATCACTGGCCCTTCTCAGAGGAGCAAGAGACCCTCAACAGATACCAGCGTGTGTATAGAACTTCCAAATGCTGAGCCCAGAGCGTTGTCTCCTGCCCATGAGCACCACAGTCAGGCCTTGATGGGATCTTCTAGGGAGACAACAGCCCTGTCTCAAACCCAGCTTGCCAGCTCTAATGTACCAGCAGCTGGAATCTGAAGGCGTGAGTCTCCATCTTAGAGCATCACTCTTCCTCACACCACAAATCTGGTGCCTGTCTCTTGCTTACCAATGTCTAAGGTCCCCACTGCCTGCTGCAGAGAAAACACACTCCTTTGCTTAGCCCACAATTCTCTATTTCACTTGACCCCTGCCCACCTCTCCAACCTAACTGGCTTACTTCCTAGTCTACTTGAGGCTGCAATCACACTGAGGAACTCACAATTCCAAACATACAAGAGGCTCTCTCTTAACACGGCACTTAGACACGTGCTGTTCCACCTTCCCTCGTGCTGTTCCACCTTTCCTCAGACTATTTTTCAGCCTTCTGGCATCAGCAAACCTTATAAAATTTTTTTGATTTCAGTGTAGTTCTCTCCTCTTCAAATAAACATGTCTGCCTTCATTCTTTAGGTGACTCTTTTTTTGGCTGAAAGTTTCCAGTGTTATCATTACCATGTCCAAATAACTCCAACTGTTCTCCACTGGGTTCTCACCCCTGGACTCTGAGCTTCTGGAAGCAGGGTGGAGCCTCATTTGTCTCTGAGACTCCAATTTCCATCCAAAGATGCAGCACATAAGAGGTTCCAAGGATCGTGAATCACATGAACAAGTGATATTCTTACTCTCTGCAGACCTGGAAAGCTGGCAGAGTCATTCCATGATGAAACATTTGTAGAGTCATAGGCCTTGTTAGTCTCATCTCCACGGGGACACATATCAACACATCATCTTTCATACTATAAATATACAGTCGGTCCTCTGTATCTGTGGGATTTACAGGTGTTTATTGAACCAAATATAAATCAAAAATATTCAGAGAAAAAATCCACAAAGTTTCAAAAAGCAAAACTATGTTGAATGGACACAAATGAAGCTGTGTGTAGGCTGTATCAGGAATTATAAATAATCAAGGGATGATTTCATGTACACAGGAGGATGTGCATGGGTTATTTGCAAATGCTGTGCCATTTCATGTAAGAGGCTTGAGCATCTGCAGATTGTGCTATCTGAGTGGAGATCCTGAGACCAATCACCCACGAATAATGAGGGATGACTGTATATAATTTTTATTTCTCAATTTTAAATATAAAACATAAAAAAATTACAATAACAAGATAAAATAAACAAGTGTTTTATAGTGTGAGAATACTTTTAGATATATTTTTCTCCATGTGTAACCCTTGGGCCCATGTTATTTATTGAGAAGACATTCTATTCCACCTTAAACCACATGGCAGCCTTTGTCAACTATAAAGGGACTGTGTGTACACGGATGTATTTTAGACACTGTTTTCTGCTCAGTGGCTCTCTCTCTGTCCACTCTCTTGAGAATGCTGCATTTTATGCAGCCTTATACAACCCCTAAAATTTGGTAGCTGGAGTCCTCTAGTTATTTATTATAGGCTATTTGCTATGCTTTTTTTATTTTTCTTGAGGCAGAGTCTCGCTCTGTTGCCCAGGCTGGAGTGCAGTGGCACGATCTCGGCTCACTGCAACTTCTGCCTCCCAGGTTCAAGGGATTCCGTGCCTCAGCCTCTTGAATAGCTGGCATTACAAGTGCCTGCTACCAGGCATGGCTAATTTTTGTATTTTTAGCAGAGACATGGTTTCACTATATTGGCCAGGCTGGTCTCAAACTCCTGACCTCGGTTGATCACTCACCTCGGCTTCCAAAGTGCTGGGGAAATTGATTTTCTATAGCATTATGTTACTGGATATTTCTGTAAAATTTAAAATGAGGGAGGCAGAGAGACAGAGAGAGAGCAAACCATGAGTTGGAACTCTGGAATCTTGGGACATGAGACAAATTCTAGATAAATCTACAAAAATCCAGAATTTACATGTTGTGATTTTTGCTGATAAAGTACAATTCTAAGATTGTAAATAATTGCATAATCCTTCCCTGGGAGTTTAAATCATTTGAACTGGTTCTGCTGTAATACTAGAAATACAATCATGAAAAATTCTAATGGTTTATTGTCACAATTGCTCTGAAAACCTTAATAATACCTATTAGATATTTTGCATATTACACAGGAAGAAGAGTTTGAATCTCAGATAAAAGCAATAAAAATACATGAAAAGTCTTTCATGTTAGCACAGATTTTAGGCATCTCGTGTTCAGGAGGTTGGATCTGAGACGTGTTTTGAGTTGGTCATAGTGAAGGACGCGAGGTGTCAATTCTAGTGAGAGCAATTTCCAGGAAGCCATGCTCCGCTCTTGAGCGAGCACCCACTGGGCCTCATGCAAGGTAGAAAGAGCCTGCGTACGTCACCCTCCCATGATGTGGTCAACATGTAAACTGCATGGGCAGGGCGCCAAATAACATCCTGTGCGCTGCTGAGCTGAGCTGGGGCGCAGCCGCCTGTCTGCACCGGCAGCACCATGTTGCTCATGGTCGTCAGCATGGCGTGTGTTGGTGAGTCCTGGAAGGGAATCGAGGGAGGGAGTGCGGGGATGGAGATCTGGACCTGGAGGTAAAGATATGGGCCTAGAGGTGGAGTTATGGGCCTGGAGGTGGAGTTATGGGCCTGAAGTGGAGATCTGGGCCTGGAGTGGAGATCTGGGCCTGGAGTGGAGATAGGGGCCTGGGGTGGAGATATGTGCCTGGAGTGGAGATCTGGGCCTGGAGTGGAGATATGGGCCTGGGGTGGAGATATGTGCCTGGGGTGGAGATATGGGCCTGGAGGGGAGATATGGGCCTGGAGGGGAGATGTGGGCCTAGAGGTGGAGTGATGGGCCTAGAAGTGGAGCGATGGGCCTGGAGTGGAGATATGGGCCTGGAGGTGGAGTTATGGGCCTGCAGTAGAGATATGGGCCTGAAGTGGAGATATGGGCCTGGAGTGGAGATATGGGCCTAGAGGTGGAGTTATGGGCCCGGAGGTGGAGTTAAGGGCATGAAGTGGAGATCTGGGCCTGGAGTGGAGATATGATCCTGGAGTGGAGATATGGGCCTGGGGTGGAGATACGGGCCTGGAGCAGACATACAAGCCTGGAAAGGAGATATGGGCCTGGAGAGGAGATAGAAGCCTGGAGTGGAAATATGGGCCTGGAGTGGAGATATGAGCCTGGAGTGGATATATGAGCCTGGAGTTGAGATAGGAGCCTGGAGTGGAGATATGGGCCTGGAGTGGACTTATCAGCCTGGAGAGGAGATATGGGTCTGGAGTGGAGATACGGACCTGGAGTGGAGATCTGGGCCTGTTGTGTAGATCTAGGCCTGGAGGTAGAGATCTGGGCCTGGAGGCTGAGTCTCTGCACAGCCGAGATCCTTGTTCCTGGGGGCAGGTAGGCAGCGAGGGTGAGTTTACCTTCAGCCCAGCAAGGGCCTGGCTGCCAAGACGCACAACCCAGTGGGGGCAGCAGGGTGCCCTGGTTTGCCTGCAGATGGATGGTCCATCATGATCTTTCTTTCTAGGGTTGTTCTTGGTCCAGAGGGCCGGTCCACACATGGGTGAGTCCTTCCCCAAACCTTAGGGTGTCATCTCCCCACATAAGAGGATTTTCCTGAAATGGGAGGGAAGTCCTGTCGGGGAGTCTCTCATACACTAGGAAGAGGGGACCCTCGGATGCTCGGCCCACATTTCTGACCTTGCCCTCCCCGGCCTTTCTTTCCCTTTCCTGAGTCAAGCTCTGTGAAGACTGGGGTGAGACTAGGGTGCTCCAAGATGGGTGTGCAGGGAGGAAGTGGTGTCAGCAGCAGAGAAAGAGAGGGAAGCAGTGCTAGGAACAGCAGGTCCTCTGAGGACAAAGGTGTAACTCACACCCTCCAGCGTTTCCGTGATGGTAGGGGCTGCAGTGTGGCTGCGGTCTTTCTACCAGAAAAGGTGAGGAAACCACAGCCATGGCCCTGACATTCCAAATCCTCTGATGGGGGCTCAGTTCATCAATTGGCTGATATTCCATTCACATAGGACTTGCCCTCCATGCCGTGTCTACTTTGTATTGTTTTATATGAGTAATTTTGCAGTATTAAAATCTAGTAAGAGTTGCTTCTCCAGCACTTGCTCAAAGTTCTCAGCTGACACTTGTTGTAGGGAGACGCCATGTCTATGCAGGATGGGTCCTTCCTGTAGCCCTGGGCACCCAGGTGTGGTAGGAGCCTTAGAAAGTGGAAATGGGGAGAATCTTCTGGGCACTGGGAGTGAGGGGCGGCTCCACATCCTCCTCTCTAAGGCAGTGCCTCCTTCTCCCCCAGGTGGTCAGGACAAGCCCTTCCTGTCTGCCTGGCCCAGCGCTGTGGTGCCTCGCGGAGGACACGTGACTCTTCGGTGTCACTATCGTCATAGGTTTAACAATTTCATGCTATACAAAGAAGACAGAATCCACGTTCCCATCTTCCATGGCAGAATATTCCAGGAGGGCTTCAACATGAGCCCTGTGACCACAGCACATGCAGGGAACTACACATGTCGGGGTTCACACCCACACTCCCCCACTGGGTGGTCGGCACCCAGCAACCCCATGGTGATCATGGTCACAGGTCAGAGGCTTTCCGTCTGGGCTTCTCACTGTCCCACCTCCTGAATCCCAGAGCTTCTGGTGGGGCTGTCCGTCAGGGTCCCATCACCCAGGCCCTGGCTGTATTTGGGGTCAAGGGAGATTGAATACAGGGCAAATGGGTGCTGTGGTGGGAAGAATAACTGTCCCCAATGATGGCTACATTGTAATCCCTGGAGCCTGTGACTATTTATGTTATAGGGCAGGGGACTGAAGGGGAAGGTGGAGCTCAGGTTGTTGATGAGTTGACCTTGAGATGGGGAGACAGCCTGGACTGTCCCACTGGGCTCAGTGTAATCACAAGGGTCCGCGTGAGAGGTGGAGGAAGAGGGGAGTGGGGATTAGAGCAGTGTAGTGGGAGGGAGACGCTATCAGCCACTGCGGGCTTTGAAAGTGGAGGAAGACCACTAGTCACAGAATGCAGGTGGCCTCTAAGGGCTGGAGAAGTCAGGAGAACTGATTCGCTGATTCTCCAGAGGGAACGCAGCCCTGTAGACGCCTTGATTTCAGCACAGGGAGAACTGGATCCAATTTCTGTCTCCAGAAGTGGAAGGGGTCAGTGTGTTCTCTCCTGCTGCCATGTTTGTGGTAATTTTCTGCAGCAGCAACAGGAAACCAACACAGGAACCCAGGTCAAGGACAAGTTAGGAACCCAGGTCAAGGACAAGTTAGGAAACCAAACAAGGACAGCCAGGTGTGGTGGTGGGCGCGAGTAATCCAACGACTGGGGAGGCTGAGGCAAGAGAATCACTTGAACTGGGGAGGCAGAGGTTTCAGTGAGCCAAGACAACACCACTACACTCCAGCCTGGGTGAAAAAGTGACTGTCTCAAAAATAAATTAATTAATCAATTAATTAAAGAAACCAAACAAGGAGAAGGTTGGCTACCCTGAGATCAGCAAGGGCAGGATGCTGATGTTACCACCAGGCTCCATCCACATAGGAAGGGGTTGATGCTCCTGGAACCAGCACCAGGGGCCACCCTATGGAAGCTGGGGCCATGGAGAAGGCACAGACATGGCAGGAGAGGCTCCCAATCCCCATCAGGAACAGGGTGTGTGGTCACTGATGTCTGTCTTACTGATGAGTTGATACCACCTGCCAGAGACTCCAATTTGTTCAAAAGAGATTGATTCAGGCTGCTAAGAGCCTGGACATGCAGCCTGTCCTCTTCCACCCCCATATAAACAGCAGGAAAGAGATTAGTGGGAAACAGATACAACAGCCCAAGAGATGAGGCTGTCTTCACAGTGGCAAGGGAGTCAGGGGCTACTGGAGACAGAGGGACAGAGAAGAGGGAGGAAGACAGATGGAGGCACCTGCACCAGGGGATATGGGCACAGAAAAGACACGGAGATGCAGAGAGGGAGGAGAGAGACAGACACGGGGAGGGGAACCCTCACTCATTCCAGGTGCCATGGATGGGATGATAAAGAGAGATGCCTTCTAAACTCACAACTTCTCTTTCTAGGAAACCACAGAAAACCTTCCCTCCTGGCCCACCCAGGTCCCCTGGTGAAATCAGGAGAGAGAGTCATCCTGCAATGTTGGTCAGATATCATGTTTGAGCACTTCTTTCTGCACAAAGAGTGGATCTCTAAGGACCCCTCACGCCTCGTTGGACAGATCCATGATGGGGTCTCCAAGGCCAATTTCTCCATCGGTTCCATGATGCGTGCCCTTGCAGGGACCTACAGATGCTACGGTTCTGTTACTCACACCCCCTATCAGTTGTCAGCTCCCAGTGATCCCCTGGACATCGTGGTCACAGGTGAGAGTGTCTAGACATTGTTCTCATTGTCACTGGGACACAGAGTGAATGATCCAGGACTTGGAACCCCCAGGTGGTCATGAGGAAGATAAGTGTGGGATTCTTATGGAAAGAGAGTGACTTGGTGAGGTCTGTACCAACAGAGACAGAGAAACAGGAGACATAAGTACAGAACAGGTGTCATAACAGGGGACAGACACAGGGGCCATACAGGGAGGTAGAAAAGAGAGAAAGAGGTAAAGGAGACACTCAGACAGACAGACATGTCCCAGAGAGAGGTGTCCTTCCATGCTGACTTTGCTCAGAGACCTGGCACAGGTTAGAAGTTTCATTTCTGTTTTACCTCCACAAAGTGTTTCTACCAGAAGAACCCAAGGACACCCATATTTCTGACCTGAGTTGGGCCCTGTGGCCTCAGGCCTTGTGCCACCTACAGATGCCGTGTTTATTCTGACACCTCTGCCTTCCATGCAATGGAGAGTAATCATCCCAGGATATCATGGCCCCAGAACACCAACCCCTGTATGCTGTGTGAACTTGGGGTCCCCAGACTGGATTCTGAGGCTCATATTCCAAATAATCCCACATATGATAGGATCGCTGAGAGACACAGAGAAAAATCAGGGACACCAAAAAGCAAAGACATAAACACACACAAAATGAGCCAGAAGAAGGAGATTAAGAGATTCACAGACACATAAAAAGAAAGAAAAGAGGGCAGAGTGGAGAGAATGATGGAAAGGAGGAGAGAAAAGCCCCAAAATCAGAACCCTGAGGGAGGGACACAAAGACAGAGAAAGATAAAGATGTGGGGATGGATTGCAGAGATTCCAAATAGAACTAGAGAGACTGAGAGGCAGAGAAAGACAAGGAGACGGAGAGAGAGAGATGATAGATGGATAGATAGACGTAGATAGATGATAAATAGGTAGATGATAGATAATGGATTGGTTATAGATACATAGATGATGACTGATAGATGATACATAGAGATGATGATGATGACGATGATGATGATAGACACATAGATATATACATAGATGATACATAAATAGAGACAGAGAGGCAGACAGAGAGGTAATAGAGAGAGAGATAGATGATACATATATAGATAATAGATGATTGATGGATAGATAGACAGATAGACAATTGATAGAGAGATAGATAAGTGATACATAAATATAGATGATAGATAATTTGTAGATAGACACAAAATAGATAAATAGATAGATCGATAGATAATAGATAGAAATGTGCAGAAAGTTATGAACAAGACAGAAAGTGAGAGACTCAAAATTAAAGAAAAAGGAAGATCAAGTCAACCAATCCAAGGAGGGTCAGAGAGAATAAAACAATCCAAAAAGGGAAAACATACCTCAGGGTGGGGAAGTGAGGTCATAGACCTAGAGAGACAGAAAAGGTAGAAGGAGGAAACAGATATGAAGAGAGATGGGGTGGAGAGTGAGAGAGAGAGAGAGAGCATTAGGTCATAGAGCAGGGGAGTGAGTTCTCAGCTCAGGTGTGAGGGGAGCTGTGACAAGGAAGAACCTCCCTGAGGAAACTGCCTCTTCTCCTTCCAGGTCTATATGAGAAACCTTCTCTCTCAGCCCAGCCGGGCCCCAAGGTTCAGGCAGGAGAGAGCGTGACCTTGTCCTGTAGCTCCCGGAGCTCCTATGACATGTACCATCTATCCAGGGAGGGGGGAGCCCATGAACGTAGGCTCCCTGCAGTGCGCAAGGTCAACAGAACATTCCAGGCAGATTTCCCTCTGGGCCCTGCCACCCACGGAGGGACCTACAGATGCTTCGGCTCTTTCCGTCACTCTCCCTACGAGTGGTCAGACCCGAGTGACCCACTGCTTGTTTCTGTCACAGGTGAGAAAAGCCCATATCTCTCTCATGTCCTATGATCCTAAATCCTTAGCTAAGGAGCTTCCTGCTGATGATGGAGAAAAGCATGGACAGATGCAGAGAGAAGACACAGCAGGTGTGAGGGCGGAGTCAGGGCGCAGGATGGCAGACAGGGCACCTCCAAACCCTCCTTCATGGCCTGCATGGAGGCCTCCGATCAGGGCTCCAGGCACCCAGGCAGATGGAGAAAGCGGTCAGGACAGACCCAGAGAAGGGGAGACTGGGCTTAGTTTGGGGAGATCAGAGGTTCCCTCAGCCCCTCAATCTTACCCATTTCCCAGAAGCCCATCATGGCCTCTCACCCACACAGAGAGATATCATCACCAGCAACCCCTACACCCTTTTCTTTTCATTTTCAAAAATATTTATTGAGGTTAAATGTAACTATATAATTTACCACCTTTACCATTTTTAAAAGTAAAATCTAGTGGTCATAAATACCTTTATATGCTGGGCGTGGTGGTTCACAGTTGTAATCTCGGCGCTTTGAGAGGCCAAGGAAGGTGGATCATTTAAGATCAGGAACTCGAGATCACCCTGGCCAACATGTGGGAAATTCATCTTTACTAAACAGACAAGAAAAATTAGCCGAGCATGCTGGCATGCACCTGTAGTCCTAGCTACTTGGGAGGCTGAGGCAGGAGAAGCACTTAAAGCCAGGAGGCCGAGGTTGCACTGAGCCGAGATCATGCCACTGCACTGCAGCCTGGGAGACAGAGAGAGACTCTGTTTCTAAATAAATAAATACATCTATATTCTTTTTTTTGTTACCCTCCACCCTTCCCTTCCTGGCCTCTGGTGTCCACCATTGTATTCTCCACCTTCATGAGATCCACCTTTTATCTCCTGCATGTGGGTGAGAAATGGGAATCTTTGTAATGACCTCCAGTTCCATCCATGTGGCTGCAAATGACAGGATGTTATTGTTTCTATGGATGAGTAGTCTCCACTGTGTGTGTGTACCACAGTTCTCTATCCATTCACCCACTGATAGGCAGGTAGGTTGACTCCACATCTTGGCTACTGTGAACAGTGCTGGAACAGTCATATGAGTGCAGATATCACTTCGATACACTGATGTCCTTTCCTTTGGATATAAACCCAGTAGTGAAATTGCTGGATACTATGAAAGTTCTCTTTTTTTTTTTTTTCTTTTTTGAGAAAGAGTTTCCCTCCTTAGTCCAAGCTGGAGTCTAAGTGGTGAGATCTTGGCTCATTGCAACCTGTGCCTCCTAGGTTCAAATGATTGTCCTGACTCAGCCTCCCTAGTAGCTGTGATTACAGGTGCATGCCACCATGCCTGGCTAATTTTTGTATTTTTTTAGCACAGACGGGATATCCCAATTTTGGGCAGGCTGCTCTCAAACTCCTGACCTCAAGTGAGGTGCCTGCCTCGGTTTCCCAAAGTGCTGAAATTACAGGCATAAGCCACTATGCCCAGCCTCCTTTTAGTTTTTTAAAGAATTTCCATACTTTTCTCCATAATAGTTGTACTAATTTACATTCCTACCAACAGGGTACCAGGGTTCTCCTTTCTCTACCATCTTGCCAGCATTTGTTTTGCCTGTCTTGCAGATAAAAGCCATTTTACTTTACTTTATTTTATTTATTTATTTATGTTGAGATGGAGTTTCACTCATAGTCGCCCAGGCTGGAGTGCAAGGGTGTGATCTCAGCTCACTGCAACCTCCGCCTCCCGCGTTCAACTGATTCTCCTGCCTCAGCCTCCAAAGTAGCTGGGATTACAGGCGTGTGCCACCACGCCTAGCTAATTTTTGTATGTTTAGTAGAGAGGGAGTTTCTCCATGATGGTCAGGCTGGTCTCCCGACCTCAGGTGATCCGCCCACCTCCGCTTCCTGAAGTGCCGGAATTACAGGCGTGAGCCACCGGCCTAAAAGGCATTTTAATGGGATGAGATGAAAACTCATCGCGATTGTAATTTACATTTCTCTGATGATGAGTGATGCCGAGTACTTTTTCATATACGTGATCGCCATTTCTATGTTTTGTTTGTGGAGAAATGTCTCCTCATGTCTTTTGCTCGTTTTTTAATTAAATTGTTTTATTGAGTTGTTTGAGCTTCTTATATTTCCAGTTATTAATCCCGTCTCAGATGAATAGTTTGCAAATATTTGCTCCTATTTTGTGGGTTGTCTCTTCACTTTCTTGGTTTATCTTTTGTGGTGCAGAAGTTGCTTGGTTTGATGTAATCCTAATGGTCTATTTTTTGCTTTGATTACTTGTGTTTTGAAGGTTTTAAACAAAATGTCTTTCGTCAGACAAATGTCTTCCCCATTATTTTCTTCTACATGTTTCATAGGTTCAGGCCTTAGACTCATGTTTTTAATCCATTTTCATTTGATTTTTGTTTATGGTGACAGGTATAGATGCAGTTTTATTCCTCTGCATGTAGATATCCAGTTTTCCCCACACCATTTATTGAAAAGACTGTCCTTTCCTGATTGTGAGTTCTTGGCACCTTTGTCAAAGTCCATTAAATGGGCTGGGTATGGTGGCTCACACCTGCAATTCCAGCACTTTGGGAGGCCGAGGCGGGTGGATCACCTGAAGCCAGGAGTTCAAGACCAGGCTGGCCAACAGAGTGAAACCTCGTCTCTACTAAAAATACAAAAATTAGCTGAGCATGGTGACCAGTGCCTGTAATACCACTACTCGGGTGTTTGAGGCAAGAGAATTGCTTGAATCCAGGAAGTGGAGGTTGCATTGAGCTGAGATTGCACCTCTGCACTCCAGCCTGCATGACAGAGCAAGATTCCATCACACACACACAAAAAAAAGCCATTGGGTGTAAATGCATGGATCATATCCGTGTTCTCCATTCTGTTCCATTTTTTATGTGCCTTTCTTTATGCCAATGTCATGCTGTTTTGCTTACTACAGCTCTGTAACATATTTCTAAGTCAGGTAGTGTGATGCTCCTGTTTTCTCTTTATACCTTCAAGTCTCAAGACAGTGGGCATCGCACACAAAAATTATGGAGAAGAGGATCCCAAGACTCCCAGGGTCCAACATTAGATAACAGAGTGTTGGCCATGAACCAACCTCAAAGATTTCCATTGAGTAGAGGACAAGCACCCTCATTTCCTCACATCTCTCCTGTCCCATGTTCTAGGAAACCCTTCAAGTAGTTGGCCTTCACCCACAGAACCAAGCTCCAAATCTGGTGAGTAAAGGACCCCTCTTATCTCTGCTTTTGGAAACCTGGGGAGGTGGAAGCCTTGGATGCAAGCGTTGGCTCAAACCTCCCAGCTCTGTGAATGAGGGCCTGTCTTCCACCATCTCTGAACTCCAGACACTCCAACAGTGAAAGGGATCTAGGGCCACCAAAGGGCTCAGCGAAGTCTCTTAACCTTTAATGTCCTGCAGGTGAGACCTCCTACAAGCTAGAAGAATGATTGCCAATCTGACATCCTTCTCAGGAAAAATGCAGTGTTTTTTCTGCCTGCATTCCTAACTGGAGGATAAATTCCTGGGGACTTGAGAGAGGGAAGGGAAGGGAACATCTCATGAGGGTGGGTGTTTTAGAGAAGTTCCACTTGCCAAGGAATGAATTACTGTTGGTCATGAAGCAACCCTGGCTGACTCAGCAGAGCAAGAGCCTTGCCGTAACAGAGAACAGAGCTCATGCACGCACACTTCGACTCACTGACTCATTCAGCCACGGCCCCATGCTCAGGCTGTGCAGTTGGAATCCTTTCCTATTGTTGCCATAACAAATTTCCACAAGATTCGTGGGTGAAAATAAAGCGGCTTTTTAATTATCTTACAGTGCTGTAGCTCAAAGTATGAAGTGCATCTCACTGGGCTAAAAACAAGGTGACAGCAAGGCTGCCTTCCCTCTGAGGGTTCCAGGCAAGAATCTGCTTCTCACTTGTCCCAGCTTCTAAAGGCTCCCAGTTCCTTGGCTCCTGGTCCCCTTCCTCCTTCCTCAAAGCCCACAAAGACTGGTCACATCTCACATGGCATCACTCAGACCCTTCTTCCTTACCACACCTCTTTCTCTGAATGCTGCTCTCCCTTCTTCCTTATCTTTTGAAAACTTGGGGATTCTATTGGGTTCACCAAGATGAAAATCCATCATAATCTCCCGGAAATCATTCAGGATACCCTTGTTTTAAGTTCAGCTGACTAGCAACCGTAATTCCATCTGCAATCTTCATTCCTCCTTTCCATGTAAAATAACATATTCACAAGCTATGGAGGCCAGGACAG
This sequence comes from Homo sapiens, assembly GCF_000001405.40. Classification (NCBI taxonomy): domain Eukaryota; kingdom Metazoa; phylum Chordata; class Mammalia; order Primates; family Hominidae; genus Homo; species Homo sapiens. The sequence goes on from NW_016107303.1 coordinate 128,138, forward strand.
GGACATTTTGGGGTGGGACAGCATTCTCCTGCCTTCCACGAACGGTGAACAAGATGCATTTGGCCTCTGCTCTTGGGACACTGATATTGCAGATGGTTAAATGGGAGGGCAGAAAATGAATGCACAAGTGGACCAATAAATGAATGATCCATTGGGAAGCATCTGTGCATGAAATCTATTTGTTTGTTCGTTCATTTATTTATTGAGACAGAGTCTCCCTCTGTCTTCCAGGCTACAGTGCAGTGTCACGATCTTGGCTCACTGCAACCTGCGTCTCCTGGATCCAAGTGATTCTCCTGCCTCACCCTCTCGAGTAGCTGGGATTACAGGCAACTGCCACCATGCCCGGCTAACTCTTTTTGTATATTTTTTGTAGAGAGGATGTTTCACCATGTTGGCCAAGCTTGTCTGAAACTCCCAACCTCAAGTGATCCGACCATCTCAGCAACCCAAAGTACTGGGATTACAGGCGTGAGCCACTTTGCCCAGCCAGAATTCAAAATCAATAATAGATAATGCTGAGTGTATAATTTTGGGTGACAGAGAAGGTCTCACTAATCAGATATTTGTGACATTAATGAAAAACACGGATTGAACCCCTGAAAGATTGGCGGAAGGATTTTCCACACAGCTGTCAGCTGTGAAGGCACAAAGGTGAAAACAATCTGATGTTGAAGGAAGAGGCTCTGCCTCAAATGCTGGGAATGAAGTGGGGAGAATGACAAGACGACTGTAGAGAGACGGAGAGCACACTGGGTACACAGGAAACTAAGGAGCAACAAGGAGTGTGTGTTTGACACTCACAGCCATTGGATTCACCTCGGGGTAACCAGGAATCCCTACATGATTAATATGACTGACATGAAAATAAAGGAGGCCCAGGTGCGTAACTGGAATCTAGGAGACTGTGGAAAAGGCAATTGCCACCCCACTGGTGAAATGTGGTGCTGATTTAGACCCTAAGTGGATGAAGCAGATGGATATAAGCTATGCTTGGGAGGTAGAATCATTTGCAGGGAGGGCTTGCTGGGTTTGAGTTTCCTAGTTGTTTAATCCTTGCTAAATTAATTTCTTTCTGAGATTTATTCCTCCTACACATAAATCAATACCTGGCAAAGGAGTGACAGATATATGAGGGGTGGTGGAAATGAAGGGACCTATTATAGCATAGTATACAAGTCTGTGAACGGTGGCTCACTCCTGTAACCCAGCACTGCAGGAGGCTAAGGCCAGTGGATTCCAAGAAATCAGGAGTTCGAGACCAGCCTGGCCAACATGGTGAAACCCTATCTCTACATGGTGAAACCCTATCTCTCCTAAAAATACAAAAATTAGCCGAGCATGGTGGTGCATCCCTGTGATCCCAGCTCCTGCTCTGGAGGATGAAGCAGGAGAATGACTTCAACCCAGGAGGTGGAGGTTGCAGTGAGTGGAGATCGCATCACTGCACTCCAGCCTGGGTGACACAAGGAGACTCCGTCTCAAAAAATAAAAATAAGAAATGCATAAATATAATAAAACACACACGAACGACAAAGGCACCTGAATTCCCATCATCATTTTTCTATTTCTCTATAATTACTTCTTTGATTCTTTATCTTATCCATTAGACAATCAGCCTAAAACCTCTTCCGTATTTGGCTTTCTGTGAGCATGAGATCATATAGAAAATGTGAAAGCCCGCTGAATCCTCCAGCACAAATCCTGGAATAGAGAAAGTGCTCTGGTCATCACAAAAAAAACTTGCCCCCTCACCCAAATCCCCCACCTCACCCCTACTTCCAATCACCTGTGCAGATACAGATAGACCATGGGGAGGTAAATGCTAATACTCCTTGGAGTGAGTCCAGATCTTGGAATCAGAGATCAGTGCCAGCACTAGCTCCTGCTCCCCTTTCCTACTAATTCACAGGAGGACAGGTGGTATTGAAGCAATAGATAGTCGAGGGGGTGGTCCTTCCCCCAGCCTGTCAGGTAGAACAGCAGCCTAACATGTGTCTCCCGAGATCACAAAGAATAGCACATTTCACACGGGCTTCAACACTATTTTCTGGCTGTTTGACATAAGAGAATTCTACTTCGCATTTTTGATCTTGATTTCACTTTTGTTTCCTTTTCTTGGAGAATGCAAGTTGTTTAACTCAAGAATGCCGTGGATGTAGAAATCCTAAAGCACATTCGCTGTGTATCAATCCCAGTCCAGTCTTCCCAGAGAAGACTCTAAACACCTCCTGGACTGCACCTGGGCCTATGCCAATTCCTATCACTCACCGTCACTCCAGGGAGACAGAACACACAGAGAACACATTACACAGGCAGGTTCATTACTAACAGATAAGCAGCGAGTGACAACAGAAGCCTACATTTCAATGTGAGCCAGTTCCCCAAGGCTCAGAAAAGCTGCTCGAGACATGTGGAGTCACCCCATTTGCAGTGTAGCTGGGGGAAGCCAGAAAGCAGCCCAACCTGGGTTTTGTACCCTGGAGCCACAGGAAGCACTCAGCTAAAGCACTGCATCACGTCCTCCTCCAGGAAGAACAGGAAGACAGCCCAGGCTGTTCTGGGACTTTCCTCCTGATCTCAGGACGTTGCTGTCTTAGTCCATTTTTGTTGCTCTAAAGGAACACTTGAGCCTGGGTAACTTCTAAACAAAAGATTTTGGTTTGCCTTACAGTTCCGCAGGCTGTACTGGAAGCATGGCACCAGCATCTATTTCTTGTGACTGCCTCAGGCTGCTCCCACTCTGGCAGAAGGGAAGGAGGGTCTGTCTGTGCAGAGACCACAGAGATCACACGGCAAGAGAGGGAGCAAGGGAGAGGGGGAGTGATGGAGCTTCCAAGCTCTTATGAACAACCAGCTCTCCAGGAACTAATAGAGGGAGAACTTGCTAACCCCGTCTCCTTAAAACAGCATTGATCTGTTCATGATGTATCCACCCCCATGACTCAAACACCTCCCAAGAGGCCCACCCTCCCACACTGGGGGGTAAATTTCAATCTGAGGTTTGAAGGGGTCAAACATCTCAACTAAAGTAGTGGTATCCTCAGCACGTTCTATGGTTACTATGAGAGCTATAACTGAGAAAGCAGGAGGAAGCTGGGTCTCCCGCCATCTGGGTGCTTGTCCTAAAGAGACGCTGTATGTGGTTACCTGTGAATCAAGAAATGCAAGACAATTCATAAAGAGGAACTGCTATGATTAGCTTCTTATTGGTGTCTCCTCTTCTTCCAGGTAACCTCAGACACCTGCACATTCTGATTGGGACCTCAGTGGTCAAAATCCCTTTCACCATCCTCCTCTTCTTTCTCCTTCATCGCTGGTGCTCCAACAAAAAAAAGTAAGTCTCACGAAGCAGAGGCCAGAGAGCTCAGGGCCATGTGGGGAAGCAGGATGGGAGCACACGGGTGTGTGTTCCTCACCAGCAGGATGGTCCCTGGCCCAAGACAGGAGCCACAGAGGCAGGACTTTCTAGAGAGAGCACCAGATTCCCTTCCCCTGCCTTCAGCTCACAGACCATTGCCTGATTCTGAACTGTATCCTCACGTCCCCTGCAGCCACTCACATCCAGGAGAAGGTTCCATGACAGGCAGAAAGTGGGAGATAGAATCAATGGAATGGGACCTCAGAGCTATTCATGGGATGGGTCCTTGAACTCAGAGAGATAGAATGTCTGAGTCTGCTGTTGGCAACTGAGGGACCTCAGGCACCTATGGCCTCCCCCTGTTTGTTGGTATCTGCTTATGAAATGAGGACCCAGAAGTGCCCTCCGAGCTCTTTTGTTGACTTCCGTCTTCTACAGATGCTGCTGTAATGGACCAAGAGCCTGCAGGGAACAGAAGTGAACAGCGAGGTAGGTGCTCCTCGGCCCAGCCTCGTGGCTAGTGTTATTCCCAAAGAGTCCTGAAAAATGTGAGCACCCTCCCTCACTCAGCATTTCCCTCTCTCCAGGATTCTGATGAACAAGACCATCAGGAGGTGTCATACGCATAATTGGAACACTGTGTTTTCACACAGAGAAAAATCACTCGCCCTTCTCAGAGGCCCAAGACACCCCCAACAGATACCAGCATGTACATAGAACTTCCAAATGCTGAGCCCAGATCCAAAGTTGTCTTCTGTCCACGAGCACCACAGTCAGGCCTTGAGGGGATCTTCTAGGGAGACAACAGCCCTGTCTCAAAACTGGGTTGCCAGCTCCCATGTACCAGCAGCTGGAATCTGAAGGCATCAGTCTTCATCTTAGGGCATCGCTCTTCCTCACACCACAAATCTGAATGTGCCTCTCACTTGCTTACAAATGTCTAAGGTCCCCACTGCCTGCTGGAGAAAAAACACACTCCTTTGCTTAGCCCACAGTTCTCCATTTCACTTGACCCCTGCCCACCTCTCCAACCTAACTGGCTTACTTCCTAGTCTACTTGAGGCTGCAATCACACTGAGGAACTCACAATTCCACACATACAAGAGGCTCCGTCTTAACGCAGCACTTAGACACGTGCTGTTCCACCTTCCCTCATGCTGTTCCACCTCCCCTCAGACTAGCTTTCAGCCTTCTGTCAGCAGTAAAACTTATATACTTTTTAAAATAACTTCAATGTAGTTTTCCATCCTTCAAATAAACATGTCTGCCCCCATGGTTTCGGTAATGGGACTCTTTTCTTGCCTAAGGCTTCCGGTGTTATCAGTACCATGTCCATATAATCCCATCTGTTCCCCACTGAGTTCTCATCCCTGGACTCTGATCTTCTGGAAGCAGGGTGGAGCCTCATTTGTCTCTGGGACTCCAATTTCCATCCAAAGATGTAGCACATAGGAGGTTCCAAGGATCGCGAATCACATGAACAAGTGATACTCTTACTCTCTGCAGACCTGGAAAGCTGGCAGAGTCATTCCACAATGAAACATTTGTAGAGTCATAGGCCTTGTTAGTCTCATCTCCATGGGGACACATATCAACACATCTTCTTTCATAATATAAATATACGGTCACTCCTCCATATCTGCGGGGTTTACAGGTGTTTATTGAACCAAGTATAAATCAAAAATATTGAGAGAAAGTATCCACAGAGTTTCAAAAAGCATAACTATGTTAAATGGACACAAATGAAGCTGTGTGTAGGCTGTATCAGGAATTATAGGTAATCTAGAGATGATTTCATGTATACAGGAGGATGTGCATAGGTTATTTGCAAATGCTGTGCCATTTCATATAAGAGGCTTGAGCATCTACAGATTTTGGTATCTGAGTGGAGATCTCAAAACCAATCACCCACGAATAGTGAAGGATGACCGTATATGACTTTTATTTCTCAAATTTAAATATAAATCATAAAAAATGTACAACTAGATAAAAACTAAGAAGTGTTTTTATAGTGTCAGTTAGATTTATTTTTTACTAGGTGTAACCCATTGGTTTAATATTATTTATTGAGAAGACATTCTATGCCACCTTAAACCACACAGCAGCCTTTGTCAACTCTAAAGGGATTGTGTGTACATGGATGTATTTTAGACACTGTTTCTGCTAAGGGGCTCTCTGTGTCCACACTCTTGATGACGCTGCACTTTATGTAGCCTTATAGAACCCTTTAAATTTAGTAGCCAGAGCCCTCTAATTTGTTATTATAGGCTATTTGCTTTTTTTTTCTTGAGGCGGAGTCTTGCTCTGTCGCCCAGGCTGGACTGCAGTGACACAATCTCAGCTCACTGCAACCTCCACCTCCCAGGTTCAAGCGATTCTCGTGCCTCAGCCTCTTGAGCAGCTGGCGTTACAGGTGCCTGCCACCAGGCACGGCTAATTTTTGGATTTTTAGCAGAGACACGGTTTCACTATGTTGACCAGGCTGCTCTCAAACTCCTTATCTCAGTTGATCCGCCCACCTCGGCTTCCCAACGTGCTGGGGAAAACTTGATTTTCTATAGCATTATGTTACTGGATATTTCTGTAAAATTTAAAATGAGGGAGGGAGAGAGACAGAGAGAGATCAAACTCCAGAGTTGGGACTCTGGAATCTTGGGTCATGAGACAAATTTTAGATTAAACTACAAAACTCCAGAATTTACAGGTGTGGTTTTTGCTGATAAAGTACAATTCTAAGATTGTAAATAATTGCATAATCCTTCCCTGGGAATTTAAATCATTTTAGCTGGTTCTGCTGTAATACTAGAAATACAAGCATGAAAAATTCTAATGGTTTATTAGTCACAATGACTCCGAAAACATTAATAATACCTATTAGATACTTTGCATATTACACAGGAAGAAGAGTTTGAATCTCAGATAAAAACAATAAAAATACATGAAAAGTCTTTCACGTTAGCACAGATTTTAGGCATCTTGTGTTCGGGAGGTTGGATCTGAGACGTGTTGTGAGTTGGTCATAGTGAAGGACGCGAGGTGCCAATTCTAGTGAGAACAATTTCCAGGAAGCCGTGTTCCGCTCTTGAGCAAGCACCCACTGGGCCTCATGCAAGGTAGAAAGAGCCTGCGTACGTCACCCTCCCGTGATGTGGTCAACATGTAAACTGCATGGGCAGGGCGCCAAATAACATCCTGTGCGCTGCTGAGCTGAGCTGGGGCGCGGCCGCCTGTCTGCACCGGCAGCACCATGTCGCTCATGGTCATCAGCATGGCGTGTGTTGGTGAGTCCTGGAAAGGAATAGAGGGAGGGAGTGCGGGGATGGAGATCTGGGCCCAGAGGTGGAGATATAGGCCTGGAGGTGGAGTTATGGGCCTGGAGTGGAGATCTGGGCCTGGAGTGGATATATGGGCCTGGAGATGGAGTGATGGGCCTAGAAGTGGAGATCTGGGTCTGGAGTGGAGATATGGGCCTGGAGGTGGAGATATGGGCCTGGAGTGGAGATCTGGGCCTGGAGTGGAGATAGGAACCCGGAGGGGAGATAGGAGCCTGGAGTGAAGATATTGGCCTGGGATGGAGATATGGGCCTGGAGTGGAGACATGGGCCTGGAGGTGGAGATATGGGCCTGGAGGTGGAGATATGGGCCTAGAGGTGGATATCTGGGCCTGGAGTGGACATATGGGCCTAGGATGGAGATATGGGCTTGGGGTGGAGATATGGGCCTGGATTGGAGATATGGGTCTAGGGTGGAAATATTGGCCTGGAGTGGAGATATGGGCCTGGAGTGGAGATATGGGCTTGGGGTGGGGATAGGGGCCTGGGGTGCGGATATGGGCCTGGAGGCTGGGTCTCTACACAGCCGACAGCCCTGTTCTTGGGTGCAAGCAGGCACTGAGGGTGAGTTTCCCTTCAGCCCAGCAAGGGCCTGGCTACCAAGACTCACAGCCCAGTGGGGGCAGCAAGGGAGTCCTGGTTTGCCTGCAGATGGATGGTCCATCATGATCTTTCTTTCCAGGGTTCTTCTTGCTGCAGGGGGCCTGGACACATGAGGGTGAGTCCTTCTCCAAACCTTCGGGTGTCATCTCCCCACATAAGAGGATTTTCCTGAAACAGGAGGGAAGCCCGGTGGGGGATTTTCTTATAAACAAGGATGAGGAGACCCTGGGGTGCTCAGCCCACAGTTCCGACCTTGCCCTCCCCAGCCTTCCTTTCCCTTGGCTGAGTCAGGTTCTGTGGGAACCCGGGAGGGTAGACTGGGGTCCTCCAAGCTGGGCTGTGCGGCTGGGATGTGGTGTCACTGGCAGAGGAAGGGAGCAAAGCAGTGCTAGGAACAGCAGGCCTCTGAGGACAAAGGTGTAACTCACACCCTCCAGCGTTTCCATGACGGTAGGGGCTGCAGTGTGGCTGCTGTCATTCTACCTCAGAGGTGGGGGAACCCCAGCCAGGGCCCTGACCTTCCAAATCCTCTGTTGGGGGCTCAGTTGTGTATTGTGGTTCACACATTGGCTGATATTCCATTCACAAAGAACATGCCCTCGACCCCATGTCTATTTGTGTTGTTTTATGTGAGTAATCTTGCAGTATTAAAATCTAGTAGGAGTCCCTTACTCAGCACTTGCTCAAAGTTCTCAGCTGACACTTTTGTTGTAGAGAGACGCCAAGTCTATGCGGGGTGGGTCCTTCCCGTAGCCATGGGCACCCAAGTGTGGTAGGAGCCTTAGAAACGAGGAAAGTGGGGAGAATCTTCTGAGCACTGGCAGGGAGGGGCGGCTCCACATCCTCCTTTCTAAGGTGGCGCCTCCTTCTCCCCCAGGTGGACAGGACAAGCCCTTGCTGTCTGCCTGGCCCAGCGCTGTGGTGCCTCGAGGAGGACATGTGACTCTTCTGTGTCGCTCTCGTCTTGGGTTTACCATCTTCAGTCTGTACAAAGAAGATGGGGTGCCTGTCCCTGAGCTCTACAACAAAATATTCTGGAAGAGCATCCTCATGGGCCCTGTGACCCCTGCACACGCAGGGACCTACAGATGTCGGGGTTCACACCCGCGCTCCCCCATTGAGTGGTCGGCACCCAGCAACCCCCTGGTGATCGTGGTCACAGGTCAGAGGACTCATGTCTGGGCTTCTCCTTCTCCCACTTCCTGAATCCCAGAGCATCTGGTGGGGGTGTCCACCAGGGTCCAATCATCCAGGCCCTGACTGTATTTGGTGTCAATGGGGATTGAATACAGGGGAATGGGTGCTGTGGTGGAAAGAGTAACTGTCGGCAGCATGGCTATATTGTAATCCTTGGAGCCTGTGACTATTTATGTTATAGGACATGGGACTGAAGGGGAAGATGGAGTTCAGGTTGTTGATGAGTTGACCTTGAGATGGGGAGACGACCTGGACTCTCCCACTGGGCTCAGTGTAATCACAAGGGTCCACATGAGAGGAGGAGGAAGAGGAGAGTGGGGATTAGAGCAGCGTAGTGGGAGGGAGAGTCCACCAGCCACTGCGGGCTTTGAAAGTGGAGGAAGGCCAGAAGCCACGGAATGCAGGTGGCCTTTAGGGGCTGGAGAAGTCAATGGAACTGATTCTCCCGAGTCTCCAGAGGGAATGCAGCCCTGCAGATGCCTTGATTGTAGCCCAGGAAGAACAGGGTCTGATTTCTGTCAACAGAAGTGTTCTCTCCCGCCGCCGTGTTTGTGATAATTTTCTGCAGCAACAACAGGAAACAACACAGGAATCCAGGTCAAGGACAAGTTAAAAAACCAAACAAGAGGGTTGGCTACCCTAAGGTCAGCAAGGGTGCACTGCTGATGCCACCACCAGGCTGGAGCTGCATAGGGAGGGATCCACAGGGAGAGTCGGGGGTGGAGGGTGAGAGAGAGAGAGAGCATTAGGTCATAGAGCAGGGGAGTGAGTTCTCAGCTCAGGTGTGAGGGGAGCTGTGACAAGGAAGAACCTCCCTGAGGAAACTGCCTCTTCTTCCAGGTCTATTTGGGAAACCTTCACTCTCAGCCCAGCCGGGCCCCACGGTTCGCACAGGAGAGAACGTGACCTTGTCCTGCAGCTCCAGGAGCTCATTTGACATGTACCATCTATCCAGGGAGGGGAGGGCCCATGAACCTAGGCTCCCTGCAGTGCCCAGCGTCGATGGAACATTCCAGGCTGACTTTCCTCTGGGCCCTGCCACCCACGGAGGGACCTACACATGCTTCAGCTCTCTCCATGACTCACCCTATGAGTGGTCAGACCCGAGTGACCCACTGCTTGTTTCTGTCACAGGTGAGGAAAGCCCATGCCTGTCCCATGTCCTGTGATCCTAGAGCCTTAGCTGAGGAGCTTCCTGCTGATGATGGAGAGAAGCATGGACAGATGCAGAGAGAACACGCAGCATGGTGTGAGGGAGGGATCAGGGCACAGGATGGCAGACAGGGCACCTCCAAACCCTCCTGCACGGCCTGCATGGAGGCCCGCGGCCAGGGCTCCAGGCACCCAGGCAGATGGAGAAAGTGGTCAGGACAGACCCAGAGGAGGGAGACTCGGCTCAGTTTGGGGAGATCAGAGGCTCCTCAGACCCTCAACCTTACCCATTTCCCAGAAGCCCATACTGGCCTCTCACCCACACAGAGATGTCATCACCAGCAACCCCTACACCCTTTTCTTTCCGTTTGAAAAAACATTTATTGAGGTTAAATGTAACTATATAATTTGCCACCTTTACCATTTTTAAAAGTAAAATCTAGTGGTCATAAATTCCTTTATATGCAGGGTGCAGTGGCTCACAGTTATAATCTCGGTGCTTTGAGAGGCCAAGGAAGGTGGATCATTTAAGATCAGAGGCTCGAGATCAGCCTGGCCAACATGAGGGAAATTCATCTTTACTAAACAGACAAGAAAAATTGGCTGGGCATGCTGGCATGCACCTGTATTCCTAGCTACATGGGAGGCTGAGGCAGGAGAAGTACGTAAGCCCAGGAGGCAGAGGTTGCACTGAGCTGAGATCAGGCCACTGCACTGCAGCCTGGGAGACAGAGAGAGATTCTGTCTCTAAATAAATAAATACATCTATATTCTTTTTTATTGTTGTTGTTACACTCCACCCTTTACTTCCTGCCCTCTGGTAGCCACCATTCTACTCTCTACCTTCATGAGATCCACCTTTTAGCTCCTGTATATGGGTGAGAAATGGGAATCTTTGCAATGACCTCCAGTTCCATCCATGTGGCTGCAAATGTCAGGATGTTATTCTTTCTACGGATGAGTACTCTCCACTGTGTGTGTGTACTACATTCTCTCTATCCATTCACCCACTGACGGGCAGGTAAGTTGACTCCACATCTTGGCTACTGTGAACAGTGCTGCACCAATCGTATGAGTGCAGATATCACTTCGATACACTGATGTCCTTCCCTTTGGGTTTACACCCAGTAGTGGAATTGCTAGATCCTATCAACAGGGTACCAGGGTTCTCCTTTCTCTACCACCTTGCCAGCATTCATTTTGTCTGTGTTTCAGATAAAAGCCACTTTAATGGGATGAGATGATAGCTCACTGTGATTTCAATTGGCATGATTAGTGATACTGAGCACTTTTTCATGTACATGTTCGCCATTTGTACGTTTTGTTTGTTGAGAAATGTCTGTTCAGGTCTTTTACTAATTGTTAAATTAAATTCATTGTTTTATACCGTTGCTTGAGTTTTATGTATATTCTAGTTATTAATCCCCTCTCAGATGCATACTTCACAAATATTTTCTCCCAATTTGTCTCTTCTTCACTTTGTTGGTTGCTTCCTTTGCGGTGCAGAAGCTGCTTACTTTGATGTAATCCCGAAGGTCTATTATTTTGTTTTGATTTCTTGTGTTTTTGAGATTTCAAATAAAATGTCTTTCCTCAGACAAATGTCCTGGAGCATTTCCCCACTCTTTCCTTTTAGACGCTTAATGGTTTCAGGCCTTAAGTGTTTCTTCCATTTTCATTTGATTTCTGTGTATGGTGAGAGGTAGAGGTGCAGTTTCATCAACTGCATGTAGATACCAGTTTTCCCTGCTCCATTTATTGAAAAGACCGTCGTTTCCTGATTGCAGGTTCTTGGCACCTACAATCGTCAAAGTCCATTGGATGTGAATGCATGAATTATATCTGTGTTCTTCATTCTGCTCCATTGCTCTAAGGGCCTTTATGCCAATGTCATGCTGTTGTGCTTACTACAGCTTTGTAACATATTTTTAAGTCAGGGAGTGTGAGGCCTCCAGCACCTGTTTTGTCTTTATACCTCGAAATCTCAGGACACTGGGCATCATTTAACAATGATGATGGAGAAGGGGACGCCAGGACTCCTAGGGCCCAACATTAGATAACAGAGTGTTGGCCATGAACCAACCTCAAAGATTTCCTTTGAGTAGAAGACAGGCATCCTCATTTCCTCACCTCTCTCCTGTCCTGTGTTCTAGGAAACTCTTCAAGTAGTTCATCTTCACCCACTGAACCAAGCTCCAAAACTGGTGAGTAAAGATCCCTCTTATCTCTGCTTTTGGAAACCTGGGGAGGTTGGTATCTTGGATTCAAGCATTGGCTCAGCACCTCCCAGCTCTGTGATTGTGGGCCTGTCTTCTAACATCTCTGACCCCCAGACACTACAACAGCGAAGGGTATCTGAGGACAGCAAAGGGCTCAGTGAAGTCTCTTCATTTCAAATTTCTGCAGCTGAGACCTCCTCCAAGCTAGACGGACGAGTACAAATCTGACATCCTTCTCAGGGATAATGTGGTGTTTTTTCTGCCTGCATTCCAAATTGGAGGATAAATTCGAGGGGACTTGAGAGAGGGAGGGGAAGGGAACATCTGATGAGGGAAAGGTGATTTAGAGAAGTTCCACTTGCCAAGGAATGAGCCCCTGTTGGTCATGATGCGACCTTGGCTGAGTCAGCAGAGCAAGAGCCTTGCAGTAAGAAGGAACGTAGTTCATCCACGAATATGACACTTCCACTCACTCACTTATTCAGCCACTGCCCTGTGCTCTGACTGTACAGTGTGGAACCCTTTCCTGCTGTTGCCATAATAAATCTCCACAAACTTCATGGATGACAACAACACAGCTTTTAAAATTATCTTACAGTGTTATAGCTCAGAAATATGAAATGCATTTCACTGGGCTAAAATCAAGGTGACTGCGAGGCTGCCTTTTCTCTGAAGGTTCCAGGCGAGAATCGGCTTTTCACATTTCCCAGCTCCCAGAGGTTCCCACGTTCCTTGGCATCTGGTCCCCATCCTCCTTCCTCGAAGTCCACAAAAGCTCGTCACATCTCTCACGTGGCATCACTCAGATCCCTCTTCCTTACCTCACCTCTTTCTCTAAGTGTTGCTCTGACTTTTTCTTCCTCTTTTAAAGACTTTGGGATTCTATTGAGTTTACCAAGATAATCCATCACAATCTCCCTAAAATCACCCAAGATAACCTCTTTTTAAGTTCAGCTGATTAGCAACCATAATTCCATCTGCAATCTTTATTCCTCCTTTCATGTAAAATAACATATTCACAAGCTATGGAGGCTAGGACAGGGACATTTTGGGGGTGGGCCAGCATTCTCCTGCCTTCCACAAATGGTAAACACGATGCATTTGGCCTCTGCTCTTAGGACACTGACATTGCAGATGGGCAAATGGGAGGGCAGAATATGAATGCACAAGTGGACCAGTAATGATTGATCCATTGGGAAGCATCCGTGCATGAAATCTATTTACCTATTTATTTATCTATTTATCTATTTATGTATTTATTTATTTGCGGCGAAGTCATTCTCTGTCCCCGGGCTGGAGTGCAGTGGCATGACCTCAGCTCACCACAACCTCCGCCTCCCGGGTTCAGGCGATTCTCCTGCCTCAGCCTCCTGACTAGTTGTGATTCCAGTCCCCTCCACCACACCCAGCTAATTTTCTTTTATATTTTTTAGTAGAGATGGAGTTTCACCATGTTGCGCAGATTGTCTCCAACTCCCAACCTCAAGTGATCCGACCGTCTCAGCATCCCAAAATGCTGGGACTCAAGGCGTGAGCCACTGCGCCCAGCCGAAATTTAAAATAAATAATAAAGAATTCTAAGTGTATAATTTCAGGAGACAGAGAAAGTCTCACTAATCAGATAATATTTGTGACCATAATGAAAAAAAAAAGTAGATTCAACCCCTGGAAGATGGGCGGAAGGATTTTCCACACACAGCTGTCAGCCGTGAAGGCACAAATGTGAAAACAATCTGATGTGGAAGGAAGAGGCTCTGCATTCAAATGCTGGGAATGACGTGGGGAGAATGACAAGATGACTGTAGGGAGACGGAGAGCACACTGGGTACACAGGAAACTAAGGAGCAACAAGGAGCGTGTGTTTGACACTCACAGCCATTGGATTCACCTCGGGGTAACCAGGAATCCCTACATGATTAATATGACTGACATGAAAATAAGGGACGCCCAAGTGCGTAACTGGAATCTAGGAGACCGTGGAAAAGGCAATTCCCGCCCCACTGGTGAAATGTGGTGCTGATTTAGACACTAAATGAATGAAGTAGATGGGTATAAGATATGTCTGTGAGGTAGAATCATTTGTAGGGAGGTCTTGCTGGATTTGATAATGCCTACTTATTTAATTTTGAATATATTAATTTCTTTCTGAGATTTATTTTTCCTACATGTAAATCAATATCTGGCAGAGGAGTGATAGATAGATGAGGGGTGGTGCAAATGAAGGGACTTATTATAGCATAATATACAAGTCTGTGAATGGGAGCTTACGCCTGTAACCCAACACTTTGGGAGGCCAAGGCGTTTGGATCACTTGAGGTCAGGAGTTTGAGACCAGCCTGGCCAACATGGAGAAACCCCATGCTCTTTTTAGCAACCAGTCCTAGGGACCTCATGGAGAACTTGCCAACCACGTCTCATGGGGACAGCATTAATGTATTCATGATGGATCCACCCCCATAACTGGAACGTCTCTCAATAGGCCCAGCCTCCCACACTGCGAGATAAGTGTCAACGTGAGGTTTGGCGGGGTCAAACATTCAAACTATAGCAGTGGTATCCCCAGCATGTTCTCTGATTATTTTGAGAACTATAACTGAGAAAGCAGGAGAAAGCTGGGTATCCTGCCATCGGGGAACTTGTCCTAAACAGATGTTGTATGTGCTTAGCTGGCAACCAAGAAATGAGAGACAATCCATAAAGAGGAACTGCTATAATTAGCTTCTTATTGGATTCCCACCTTCCCCCAGGTATCCGCAGACACCTGCACATTCTGATTGGGACCTCAGTGGCTATCATCCTCTTCATCATCCTCTTCTTCTTTCTCCTTCATTGCTGCTGCTCCAACAAAAAGAGTAAGTCTCACGAAGCAGAGGTCAGAGAGCTCAGGACCATGTGGGGAAGCAGGATGGGAGCACACTGGTGTGTGTTCCTGACTGGCAGGATGGTCCCTGGACCAAGGCAGGAGCCACAGAGGCAGGGCTTTCTAGAGAGAGCACCAGACACCCTGCCCCTGCCTTCAGCTCACAGACCATTGCCTGATTCTGAACTGTATCCTCACGTCCCCTGCAGCCACTGACATCCAGGAGAAGGTTCCATGACAGGCAGAAAGGGGAGACAGAATCACTGGGATGGGAACTCAGAGCTATTCATGGGATGGGTCCTTGAGCTCAGAGAGATAGAATGTCTGGGTCTGGCTGATGACAGCTGAGGGACCTCAGGCACCTACGGCCTCCCGCTGTGTGTTTGTGTCTGCTCATGAAATGAGGACCCAAAAGTGCCCTTCCAGCTGTTTTGATGACTTCTATCTCCTACAGATGCTGCTGTAATGGACCAAGAGCCTGCCGGGGACAGAACAGTGAACAGGGAGGTAGGTTCTCCTCAGCCCAGCCTCATGGATTGAGTCTCATTCCCTAATAGTCTTGAAGAATGTGAGCACCCTCCCTCACTCAGCATTTCCCTCTCTCCAGGACTCTGATGATCAAGACCCTCAGGAGGTGACATATGCACAGTTGGATCACTGCGTTTTCACACAGACAAAAATCACTTCCCCTTCTCAGAGGCCCAAGACACCTCCAACAGATACCACCATGTACATGGAACTTCCAAATGCTAAGCCAAGATCATTGTCTCCTGCCCATAAGCACCACAGTCAGGCCTTGAGGGGATCTTCTAGGGAGACAACAGCCCTGTCTCAAAACCGGGTTGCTAGCTCCCATGTACCAGCAGCTGGAATCTGAAGGCATCAGTCTTCATCTTAGGGGATCGCTCTTCCTCACACCACAAATCTGAACATGCCTCTCTCTTGCTTACAAATGTCTAAGGTCCCCACTGCCTGCTGGAGAGAAGACACACACCTTTGCTTAGCCCACAATTCTCTATTTCACTTGACCCCTGCCCACCTCTCCAACTGAACTGGCTTACTTCCTAGTCTACTTGAGGCTGCAATCACACTGAGGAACTCACAATTCCAGACATACAAGAGGCTCCCTCTTAACATGGCACTGAGACACGTGCTGTTCCACCTTCCCTCATGCTGTTTCACCTTTCCTCAGACTATTTTCCAGCCTTCTGTCAGTCAGCAGTGAAACTTATAAAATTTTTTGTGATTTCAATGTAGCTGTCTCCTTTTCAAATAAACATGTCTGCCCTCATTGCTTTAGGTAATGTGACACTATTCGCTGAAAGAAACCGCTGTTATCATTACCATGTCCACATAACCCCATCTGTTATCCACTGGGTTCTCTCCCCTGGACTCTGAGCTTCTGGAAGCAGGGTGGAGCCTCATTTGTCTCTGGGACTCCAATTTCCATCCAAAGATGCAGCACATAGGAGGTTCCAAGGATCATGAATCACATGAACAAGTGATATTCTTACTCTCTGCAGACCTGGAAAGCTGGCAGAGTCATTCCACGATGAAACATTTGTAGAGTCATAGGCCTTGTTAGTCTCATCTCCATGGGGACACATATCAACACATCATCTTTCATGCTATATATATATATACAGTCGCTCCTCCGTATCTGTGGGGTTTACAGGTGTTTATTGAACCAACTATAAATAAAAAATATTCAGAGAAGAAAATCCACAAACTTTCAAAAAGCAAAACTATGTTGAAGGGACACAAATGAAGCAGTGTGTAGGCCATATCAGGAATTATAAGTAATCTAGAGATGATTTCATGTACACAGGAGGATGTGCATGGGTTATATGCAAATGCTGTGCCATTTCATGTAAGAGGCTTGAGCATCTGCAGATTTTGGTATCTGAGTGGAGATCCTGAAACCAATCACCCAGGAATAGTGAAGGATGACCGTATAAAACTGTTATTTCTCAATTTTAAATATAAATCATAAAAAAATTATAAACTAGATAAAAACAAGAAGTGTTTTTATAGTGTGAGAATAAGTTTAGATTTATTTTTTCCTACGTGTAACCCTTTGGTTTAATATTATTTATTGAGAAGACATTCTATGCCACCTTAAACCACAGGGCAGCCTTTGTCAACTCTAAAGGGACTGTGTGTACACGGATGTATTTTAGACACTGTTTCTGCTAAGGGGCTCTCTGTGTCCACACTCTTGAGGATGCTGCACTTCATGTAGCCTTATAGAACCCTTTAAATTTAGTAGCCAGAGCCCTCTAATTTGTTATTATAGGCTACTTGCTATTTTTTTTTTCTTAAGGCGGAATCTTGCTCTGTCACCCAGGCTGGACTGTAGTAGTGCAATCTCAGCTCACTGCAAACTCCGCCTCCCAGGTTCAAGCGATTCTCGTGCCTCAGCCTCTTGAGTAGCTGGCATTACAGGTGTCTGCCACCAGGCACGGCTAATTTTTGAATGTTTAGCAGAGACACGGTTTCACTATGTTGGCCAGGCTGCTCTCAAACTCCTCATCTCAGTTGATTCGCCCACCGCGGCTTCCCAACATGCTGGGGGAAACTTGATTTTCTATAGCATTATGTTACTGGATATTTCTGTAAAATTTAAAATGAGGGAGGGACAGAGACAGAGAGAGAGCAAACTCCAGAGTTGGGACTCTGGAATCTTGGGTCATGAGACAAATTATAGATAAAACTATAAAAATCCAGAATTTACATGTGTGGTTTTTGCTGATAAAGTACAATTCGAAGATTGTAAATAATTGCATAATCCTTCCCTGGGAATTTAAATCATTTTAACTGGTTCTGCTGTAATACTAGAAATACAAGCATGAAAAATTCTAATGGTTTATTAGTCACAATGACTCTGAAAACATTAATAATACCTATTAGATATTTTGCATATTACACATGAAGAAGAGTTTGAATCTCAGATAAAAACAATAAAAATACATGAAAAGTTTTTCACGTTAGCACAGATTTTAGGCATCCTGTGTTCCGGAGGTTGGATCTGAGACGTGTTTTGAGTTGGTCATAGTGAAGGACGCTAGGTGTAAATTCTAGTGAGAACAATTTCCAGGAAGCCGTGTTCTGCTCTTGAGCGAGCACCCACTGGGCCTCATGAAAGGTAGAAAGAGCCTGCGTACGTCACCCTCCCATGATGTGGTCAACATGTAAACTGCATGGGCAGGGAGCCAAATAACATCCTGTGCGCTGCTGAGCTGAGCTAGGGGTGCGGCCGCCTGTCTGCTCCGGCACCACCATGTCGCTCATGGTCATCAGCATGGCATGTGTTGGTGAGTCCTGGAAGGGAATAGAGGGAGGGAGCGCGGGGATGGAGATCTGGGCCCAGAGGTGGAGATATAGGCCTGGAGGTGGAGTTATGGGCCTGGAGTGGAGATATGGGCCTGGAGGTGGAGATATGGACCTGGAGTGGAGATATGAGCCTGGAGTGGAGATATGGGCCTAGAGTGGAGATATGGGCCTGGAGGTGGAGATCTGGGCCTGGAGTGGAGATCTGGGCCTGGATTGGAGATATGGGCCTGGAGTGGAGATATGAGCCTGGAGTGGAGATATGGCCCTGGAGTGGAGATAGGGGCCTGGAGTGCAGATATGGGCCTGGAGTGGAGATGTGGGTCTGGAGTGCAGATATGGGCCTGGAGGTGGACATAAGGGCCTGGAGTGGAGATATGGGCCTAGAGTGGAGATATGAGCCTGGAGATGGAGATATGGGCCTGGAGTGGAGATATGGGCCTGGAGGTTGGAGATATGGGCCTGGAGTGGAGATATGGGCCTGGAGCGGAGATATGGGCGTGGGGTGGAGATATGGGCCTTGAGTGGAGATATGGGACTGAAGTGGAGATATGGGTGTGGGGTGGAGATATGGGACTGGAGTGCAGATATGGGCATGGGGTGGAGATATGGGACTGGAGTGGAGATATGGGCGTGGAGTGGAGATATGGGACTGGAGTGGAGATATGGGCGTGGGGTGGAGATATGGGCCTGGAGTGGAGATATGGGCGTGTGGTGAAGATATGGGCCTGGAGTGGAGATATGGGCCTGGAATGGAGATATGGGCGTGGGGTGGAGATATGGGACTGGAGTGGAGATATGGGCCTGTTGTGGAGATATGGGCTTGGAGTGGAGATATGATCCTGGAATGTAGTTATGGGCCTGGAGGTGGAGATCTGGGCCCGGGGTGGAGATATGGGCCTGGAGTGGAGATATGGGCCTGGAGAGGAGATATGGGCCTGGAGTGGAGATATGGGCCTGGACTGGAGTTATGGGCCTGGGGTGGAGATCTGAGCCTGGATTGCAGATGTGGGCCCAGATTGGCTATATGGGCCTAGGGTGGGAATATCAGCCTGGAGTGGAGATATGTGCCTGGAGTGGAGATATGGGCTTGGGGTGGGGATATGGGCCTGGAGGCTGGGTCTCTGCACAGCCGAGAGCCCTGTTCTTGGGTGCAGGTAGGCACTGAGGGTGAGTTTCCCTTCGGCCCAGGAAGGGCCTGGCTACCAAGACTCACAGCCTAGTGGGGATAGCAAGGGAGGCCTGGTTTGCCTGCAGATGGATGGTCCATCATGGTCTTTCTTTCCAGGGTTCTTCTGGCTGCAGGGGGCCTGGCCACATGAGGGTAAGTCCTTCTCCAAACCTTAAGGTGTCATCTCCCCACATAAGAGGATTTTCCTGAAACGGGAGGGAAGTCCTGTCGGGGAGTCTCTCTTAAACTAGAAAGAGGGGACCCTGGGGTGCTTGGCCCACAGTTCCGACCTCGCCTCCCCAGCCTTTCATTTCCTTGGCAGAGTCAAGTTCTGTGGGGACCAGGGTTACACTAGGGTGCTCAAAGCTGGGTTGTGTGGTGGGGAAGTGGTAGGAACAGCAGATCCTCTGAGGACAAAGGTGTTACTCACACACTTCAGCGTTTCCATGATGGTAGGGGCTGCAGTGTGGCTGCTCTCATTCTACCAGAAGAGGTGGGAAACCACAGCCATGGCCCTGACATTCCAAATCCTCTGATGGGGGCTCAGTTGTTTATTTTCATTCAGGCATCTGCTGATATTCCATTCTCAAAGGACATGCCCTCCACCCCATGTCTACCCTGTGTTGTTTTATGTGAGTAATCTTACAGTATTAAAATCTAGTAGGAGTCTCTTACTCAGCACTTGCTCAAAGTTCTCAGCTGACATTTTTGTTGTAGGGAGACACCTTGTCTTTGTGGGATGAGTCCTTCCTTTAGCCCTAGGCACCAAGGTGTGATAGCAGCCATAGAAATGTGGAAAGTGGGGAGAATCTTCTGAGCACAGGGAGGGAGGGGCGGCTGCACATCCTCCTCTCTAAGGTGGCGCCTCCTTCTCCCCAAGGTGGTCAGGACAAGCCCTTGCTTTCTACCTGGCCCAGCCTTGTGGTGCCTCCAGAACATGTGACTCTTCGGTGTCACTCTAATCTTGGGTTTAACAACTTCAGTCTGTACAAGGATGATGGGGTGCCTGTCCCTGAACACTACAACAGAATATTCTGGAAAAGCCTTTTCATGGGCCCTGTGACCCCGTCACACACAGGGACCTATAGATGCCGGGGTTCACACCCACACTCCCCCAGTGGGTGGTCGGCACCCAGCAACCCCCTGCTGATCATGGTCACAGGTCAGAGGGCTCCTGTCTGGGATTCTCCTTGTCCCACCTCCTGAATCCCAGAGCTTCCGGTAGGCATGTCCTTGAGGGTCCCTTCACGCAGGCCCTGACTGTATTTGGGGTAAAGGGGGATTGAATACAGGGAAATGGGTACTGTGGTGAGAAGAATAATTGTCCCCAGTGATGACTACATTCTAATCCCTGGAGTCTGTGACTATTTATGTTATAGGGGAAGGGACTGAAGGGGAAGATGGAGCTCAGGTTGTTGATGAGTTGACCTTGAGATGGGAGAAGGCCTGGACTGTCCCCCTGGGCTCAGTGTAGTCACAAGGGTCCACATGAAAGGAGGAGGAAGAGGAGAGTGGGGATTAGAGCAGCATAATGGGAGTCTCCATCAGCTTTGAAGGTGGAGGAAGGCCAGGAGCCATGAATGCAGGTGGCCTATAGAGGCTGGAAAAGTCAAGGAACTGATTCTCCTGAGTCTCCAGAGGGAACGAAGCCCTGCAGGTACCTTGATTTTAGCCCAGGAAAAACAGGGCCCGACTTCTGCCTCCAAAAATGGAAGGGGTCAGTGTGCTCTCTCCTGCTGCCATGCTGCTGATAATTTTCTACAGCAGCAACAGGAAACCAACACCGGAACCCAGCTCGAGGAAAAGTTAAGAAAGGACACAAGGATAGCCGGGCGTGGTGGCAGGTGCATGTAATCCTAGCGACTTGGGAGGCTGAGGGCAGGAGAATCACTTGAACCCAGGAGACAGAGGTTGCAGTGAGCCTAGACCACACCACTTCACTCCAGCCTGGGCAAAGGAGTGAGACTCTGTCTCCAAAATTAATTAATTAAAGAAACCAAACAAGGAGAAGGTTGGCTACACCAAGATCAGCAAGTGTGGGATTATGATGCCACCACCAGGCTCCATCCACATAGGGAGCGGTTGATACTCCTCCAACCAGCACCAGGAGCCAGGCTATGGAAGCTGGTACAGGCATGGCAAGAGTGGCTCCCAGTCCCCACCAGGAAAAGGGTGTGTGGACACTGGTGCCTGCCTTACTGTTCAGTTCATACCTCCTGCCAAGGATTCCAATTCGTCCAAAAGAGATTGAACCAGGCTGCTAAGAGCCTGGATGTGCAGCCTATCCTGGTTCCTCTTCCACCCCCACATAGACAGCAGGAAAGACATTAGTTCAAAATAGATACAACAGCCGAAGAGATGAGGCTGAGCCCAGCGGCAAGACAATCAGAGGTTACTAGAGACAGAGGGACAGAGAAGAGGGAGGGAGACAGATGGAAGGACCTGCACCAGGAGTTATGGGCACAGAAAAGAACATGAAGACACAGAGAGGAAGGAGAGAGACAGACACCAGGGAGGGGAAGCCTCACTCAATCCAGGTGCCATGGATGGGATGATAAAGAGAGACACCTTCTAAATTCACAAACTCTCTTCCTAGGATTCCGCAGAAAACCTTCCCTCCTGGCCCACCCAGGTCGCCTGGTGAAATCAGAAGAGACAGTCATCCTGCAATGTTGGTCAGATGTCATGTTTGAGCACTTCCTTCTGCACAGAGAGGGGACGTTTAACGACACTTTGCGCCTCATTGGAGAGCACATTGATGGGGTCTCCAAGGCCAACTTCTCCATCGGTCGCATGAGGCAAGACCTGGCAGGGACCTACAGATGCTACGGTTCTGTTCCTCACTCCCCCTATCAGTTTTCAGCTCCCAGTGACCCTCTGGACATCGTGATCACAGGTGAGAGTGTCCAGACATTCTTCTCATTGTCATTCGGACACAGAGTGAATGATCCAGGACTTGGAGGCCCAGGTGGTTGTAAGGAAGATGAGCTTGGTATTCTTATGGAGAGAGACTGACTTGGTGAGGTCTGTACCAACAGAGACAGAGAAACAGGAGACACAAGTACAGACCAGGTGTCATAACAGAGGACAGACACAGGGGCCATTCCGAGAGTTAGAAAAGACAGAAGGAGTTAAAGGAGACAGACAGACAGACATGTCCCAGAGAGAGGTGTCCCTCCATGCTGACTTTGCTCAGAGACCTGGCACAGATTACAAGTTTCATTTCTGTTTTACCTCCACAAAGTGTTCTCTACCAGGAGAACCCAAGGACACCCATATTTCTGACCTGAGTTGGGCCCTGTGGCCTCAGGCCTTCTGGCACCTACAGATGCCGTGTTTATTCTGACACCTCTGCCTTCCAAGTAATGGAGAGTAATCGTCCCAGGATATCATGGCCCCAGAACACCAACCCCTGTATGCTGTGTGAACTTGTAGTCTCCAGACTGGATTCTGAGGCTCACATTCCAAATAACCCCACATATGAAAGGATCACTGAGAGGCACAGAGAAAAATCAGGAACACCAAAAAGCAAAGACATAAACACACAGAGAATGGGCCAGAGGAAGGAGATTGAGAGACTCACAGACACATAAAGAGAGAGAAAAGAGGGCAGAGGAGTGGTGAGAATGATGGAAGGGAGCAGAGAAAAGCACTAAAATTAGAGTCCTGAGGGAGAGGCACAAGGACATAGAAAGATGGAGATGTGGGGATGAATTGCAGAGATTCCAAAGAGAACTAGAGAGACCGAGAGGCAGAGCAAGACAGATGATAGATGGATAGATATAGATAGATGATAAATAGGTAGATGATAGATACTAGGTTATAGATACATAGATGATGATTGATTGATTCATTAATAGATGAGACGTAGAGATGATGATGAAGACAGATAGATAATACATAGAGATAGAGAGGCAGACAGAAGTCATAGAGAGAGAGATGATACATAGATATAGATAACAGATGATTGATGGATAGATAGACAAGTGATAGATACATAGATGATATATAGATATAGATGACAAGTAGAGAATTTGTAGATAGGCACCGAATAGATAAATAGATAGATCAACAGATAATAGATAGAAATATGCAGAAAGTTATGAACAGGACACAAAGTGAGAAACTTAGAATTTAAAAAAGTAACATCAAGTCAACCAATCCAAGGAGAGTCAGAGAGAATAAAACAATCCAAAAACGGAAAACATATCTAGAGGTGGGGAAGCGAGGTCAGAGACCTAGAGAGACAGAGAAGGTGGAAGGAGGAAATAGACATGAAGAGAGATGGGGTGGAGGGTGAGAGAGAGAGAGAGAGAGCATTAGGTCATAGAGCAGGGGAGTGAGTTCTCAGCTCAGGTGAAGGGAGCTGTGACAAGGAAGATCCTCCATAAGGAAAATGCCTCTTCTCCTTCCAGGTCTATATGAGAAACCTTCTCTCTCAGCCCAGCCGGGCCCCACGGTTCTGGCAGGAGAGAGCGTGACCTTGTCCTGCAGCTCCTGGAGCTCCTATGACATGTACCATCTATCCACGGAGGGGGAGGCCCATGAACGTAGGTTCTCTGCAGGGCCCAAGGTCAACGGAACATTCCAGGCCGACTTTCCTCTGGGCCCTGCCACCCAAGGAGGAACCTACAGATGCTTCGGCTCTTTCCATGACTCTCCCTACGAGTGGTCAAAGTCAAGTGACCCACTGCTTGTTTCTGTCACAGGTGAGGAAAGCCCATGGCTGTCCCATGTCCTATGATCCTAGAGCCTTAGCTGAGGAGCTTCCTGCTGAGGATGGAGAGAAGCATGGACAGATGCAGAGAGAAGATGCATCCTCGGTGTGAGGGAGGGATCAGGGCACAGGATGGCCGACAGGGCACCTCCAAACCCTCCTACATGGCCTGCATGGAGGCCCGCAGCCAGGGCTCCAGGCACCCAGGCAGATGGAGAAAGCGGTCAGGAGAGACCCAGAGGAGGGAGACTGGGCTCAGTTTGGGGAGATCAGAGGTTCCCTCAGCCCCTCAACCTTACCCATTTCCCAGAAGCCCATCCTGGCCTCTCACCCACACAGAGATGTCATCACCAGCAACCCCTACACCCTTTACTTTTGTTTGAAGAAATATTTATTGAGGATAAATATACCTATATAGCTTACCACCTTTAACATTTTTTTTTTTTTGAGGCAGAGTCTAGCTCTGTCCCCTATGCTGGAGTGCAGTGGCACAATCTCAGCTCACTGCAACTTCCGCCTCCTGGGTTCAAGCGATTCTCCTGCCTCAGCCACCTGAGTAGCTGGTGCTACAGGTGCGCACCACCACGCCAGGCTACTTTTTGTATTTTTAGTAGAGAGGTGGTTTCACCATGTTGGTCGAGCTGGTCTGCAACTCCTGACCACGTGATCCACCCGCATCTGCCTCCCAAAGTGCTGGGATTACAGGCATGAGCCACCACGCCCAGCCACATTTACCATTTTTAAGTGTAAAGTCTAGTGGTCATAAATACATTTATATATATATATATATATATACATTTTTTTTACCCTCCACCCTTTTCTTCCTGCCCTCCAGTAGCCACCATTCTACTCTCTACCTTCATGAGATCCACCTTTTAGCTCCTGTATATGGGTGAGAAATGGGAATCTTTGTAATGACCTCCAGTTCCATCCATGTGGCTGCAAATGACAGGATGTTATTCTTTCTATGGATGAGTAGTCTCCACTGTGCGTATGTACTACATTCTCTCTATCCATTCACCCACTGATGGGCAGGTAGGTTGACTCCTCATCTTGGCTACTGTGAACAGTGCTGCACCAATCATACGAGTGCAGATATCACTTCGATATATTGATTTACTTTCCTTTGGATATAAACCCAGTAGTGAAATTGCTGGATACTATGAAAGTTCTCTTTTTTTTTTTTTTCTTTTTTGAGAAAGAGTTTCCCTCCTTAGCCCAAGCTGGAGTCAAAGTGGTGCGACCTTGGCTCATTGCAACCTCCGCCTCCTGGGTTCCAATGATTTTCCTGCCTCAGCCTCCCTAGTAGCTGGGATTACAGGTGCACGCCACCATGCCTGGCTACTTTTTGGTTTTTTTAGTATAGATGCGGTTTCCCCATGTTGGCTGGGCTGCTCTCAAACTCATGACCTCAACTGAGGTGCCCGCCTCAGTCTCCCAAAGTGCCGGGATTACAGGCCTGATCCACCACACCCAACCTCTTTTTAGTTCTTTAAAGGACTTCCATACTTTTCTCCGTAATCGCTGTACTAATTTACACTCCTCCCAACAGGGTACCAGGGTTCTCCTTTCTCTAGCACTTTGCCAGCATTTCTTTTGCCTGTCTTGCAGCTAAAAGCCATTTTATTTATTTCATTTTATTTTGAGATGGAGTTTTGCTCTTCTCACCCAGGCTGGAGTGCAGTGGCGCTATCTCGGCTCACCACAACCTCCACCTCCCAGGTTCAAGCGATTCTCCTGCCTCAGCCTCCCGAGTAGCTGGAATTACAGGCACACGCCACCACGCCCGACTAATTTTTGTATTTTTAGTAGAGACAGCGTTTCTCTATGTGGGTCATACTGGTCTCAAACTCCCGACCTTATGAGATTCACCCACCTCAGGCTCTCAAAGTTCTAGGATGACAGACGTGAGCCACCTCACCCGGCCTAAAAGCCATTTTAATGGGGTGAGATGAAAACTCACTTTGATTTTAATTTGCATTTCTCTGATGATGAGTGATACTGAGCACTTTTTCATATGTGGGGAAATTTCATGTCTTTTGCTCCTTTTTCAATTAAATCATTTGTTTTATTGAGTTGTTTGAGCTTCTTATATTTCTAGTTATTAATCCCATCTCAGATGCATAGTTTGCACATATTTGCTCCCAATCTGTGGGTTGTCTCTTCACTTTGTTGGTTTATTTTTAGCAGTGCAGAAGTTGCTTAGTTTGAGGTAATCCCAATGGTCTATTTTTGCTTCGATTACTTGTGTTTTCAAGGTTTAAAACAAAATGTCTTCCTTCAGACAAACGTCCTGGAGCATTTCCCCAATATTTCTTCTACGTGTTTCATAGGTTCAGGCCTTAGACTCACATCTTTAATCCATTTTCATTTGATTTTTGTGTATGGTGACAGGTAGAGGTGCAGTTTCATTCCTCTGCATGTAGATGTCCAGGTTTCCCTGCACTGTTTATTGAAAAGACTGTCCTTTCCTGATTGTGAGTTCTTGGCACCTTTGTCAAAGTCCATTGGATGGGCTGGGCTTGGTGGCTCACACCTGCAATTCCAGCACTTTGGGAGGCCGAGGCGGGTGGATTACCTGAGGCCAGGAGTTCAAGATCAGTCTGGCCGACGTGATGAAACATCGTCTCCACTAAAAATATAAAAATTAGCTGAGCATGGTGGTCAGCACCTGTAATACCACTACTCAGGAGTTTGAGGCAAGAGAATGATTGAACCCAGGAGGCTGAGGTTGCAGTGAACTGAGATTGCACCTCTGCACTCCAGCCTGAGTGACAGAGCAAGACTCCATCTCAAAAGAAAAAATAAAAAACCATTGGATGTAAATGCATGGAATATATCTGTGTTATTCATTCTGCTCCATTGTTCTATGTGCCTTTCTTTATGCCAATGTCATGCTGTTTTGCTTACTACAGCTCTGTAACATATTTTGAGATCAGGTAGTGTGATGCTCCTGTTTTCTCTTTATACCTTGAAGTCTCAAGACAGTGGGCGTCACATACAAAAATTATGGAAAAAAGGATCCCAGGACTCCCAGGGCCCAATATTAGATAACAGAGTGTTGGCCATGAACCATCCTCAAAGATTTCCACTGAGTAGAGGACAGACACCCTCATTTCCTCACCTCTCTCCTGTCTCATATTCTAGGAAACCCTTCAAATAGTTGGCCTTCACCCACTGAACCAAGCTCCAAAACCGGTGAGTACAGAACCCTCTTATATCCGCTTTTGGAAACCTGGGGAGGTGGAAACCTTGGATTCAGGCGTTGACTCAGCATCTCACAGCTCTGACATTGTACCCCTGTCTTCCACCATCTCCGAACTCCAGATACTCCTACAGCGAAAGGGATCTGGGCCCAACACAGGGCTCAGTGAAATCTCTTCATCTCTCATTTTATGGAGCTGAGACCTCCTACAAGCTAGAAGAATGATTGCCAATCTGACATCCTTCTCAGGAAAAATGCAATGTTTGTTCTGCCTGCATTCCTAACTGGAGGATAAATTCCTGGAGACTTGAGAGAGGGAAGGGAAGGGAACATCTGATGAGGGCGAGGTGTTTTAGAGAAGTTCCACTTGCCAAGGAATGAGCTCCTGTAGGTCATGAAGCAACCCTGGCTGACTCAGCAGAGAAAGAGCCTTGCTGTAACAGAGAACAGAGCTCATGCACGCACACTTCGACTCACTGACTCATTCAGCCACGGCCCCATGCTCAGGCTGTGCAGTGTGGAAGCTTTTCCTATTGTTGCCATAACAAATTTCCACAAGATTCGTGGGTGAAAACAAAACGGTTTTTTAATTATCTTGCAGTGCTGTAGCTCAAAGTATGAAGTGCATCTCACTGGGCTAAAATCAAGGTGACAGCAAGGCTGCCTTCCCTCTGAGGATTCCAGGCAAGAATCTGCTTCTCACTTTTCTCAGCTTCTAGAGGCTCCCACATTCCTTCGCTCCTGGTCCCCTTCCTCCTTCCTCAAAGCCCACAAAGGCTGGTCACATCTCACATGGCATCACTCAGACCCTTCTTCCTTACCACACCTCTTTCTCTGAATGCTGCTCTCCCTTCTTCCTCATCTTTTGAAAACTTGGGGATTCTATTGGGTTCACCAAGATGAAAATCCATCATAATCTCCCGGAAATCATTCAGGATACCCTTGTTTTAAGTTCAGCTGATTAGCAACCATAATTCCATCTGCAATCTTCATTCCTCCTTTCCATGTAAAATAAGATATTCACAAGCTATGGAGGCTAGGACAGGGACATTTTGGGGTGGGACAGCATTCTCCTACCTTCCACAAACAGTGAACAAGATGCATTTGGCCTCTGCTCTTGGGACACTGATATTGCAGATGGTTAAATGGGAGGGCAGAAAATGAATGCACAAGTGGACCAATAAATGAATGATCCATTGGGAAGCATCTGTGTATGAAATCTATTTGTTTGTTTCTTCATTTGTTTATTGAGACAGAGTCGCCCTCTGTCTTCCAGGCTACAGTGCAGTGTCACCATCTTGGCTCACTGCAACCTGCACCTTCTGGATCCAAGTGATTCTCTTGCGTCAGCCTCTCAAGTAGCTGGGATTACAGGCAACTGCCACCATGCCCGGCTAATTCTTTTTGTATATTTTTTGTAGAGGATGTTTCACCATCTTCGCCAAGCTTCTCTGAAACTCCCAACCTCAAGTGATCCGACCGTCTCAGCATCCTAAAGTACTGGGATAACTGGCGTGAGCCACTGTGCCCAGCCAGAATTTAAAATAAATAATACATAATGCTGAGTGTATGATTTTGGGTGACAGAGAAGATCTCACTAATCAGATATTTGTGACATTAATGAAAAACACGGATTGAACCCCTGAAAGATTGGTGGAAGGATTTTCCACACACAGCTGTCAGCCGTGAACGCACAAAGGTGAAAATAATCTGATGTTGAAGGAAGAGGCTCTTCCTCAAATGCTGGGAATGACGTGGGGAGAATGACAAGACGACTGTGGAGAGACGGAGAGCACACTGGGTACACAGGAAACTAAGGAGCAACAAGGAGTGTGTGTTTGACACTCACAGCCATTGGATTCACCTCGGGGTAACCAGGAATCCCTACATGATTAATATGACTGACATGAAAATAAGGGAGGCCCAGGTGCGTAACTAGAATCTAGGAGACTGTGGAAAAGGCAATTCCCGCCTCACTGGTGAAATGTGGTGCTGATTTAGACCCTAACTGGGTGAAGCAGATGGATATAAGCTATGCTTGTGAGGTGGAATCATTGGCTGGAAAGGCTTGCTGGGTATGATTTTCCTAGTTGTCTAATCCTCGCTTAATTTCTTTCTGAGCTTTATTCCTACTACACATAAATCAATACCTGGCAAAGGAGTGACAGATATATGAGTGGTGGTGGAAATGAAGGGACCTATTATAGCATAATATACAAGTCTGTGAACGGTGGCTCACGCCTGTAACCCAGCACTGCAGGAGGCCAAGGAGGGTGGATCACATGAAGTCAGCAGTTCGAGACCAGCCTGGCCAACCTGGTGAAACCCTGTCTCTAGGAAAAACACAAAAATTAGCCGAGCATGGTGGTGCATCCCTGTAATCCCAGCTCCTACTCTGGAGGATGAAGCAGGAGAATGACTTCAACCCAGGAGGTGGAGGTTGCAGTGAGTGGAGATTGCATCACTGCACTCCAGCCTGGGTGACACAAGGAGACTCCGTCTCAAAAAATAAAAATAAGAAATGCATAAATATAAATATAATATAACACACGCAAATGACAAAGGGACCTGAATTCCAATCATGATTTTTCTATTTCTCTATAATTACTTCTTTGATCTTTTATCTTATCCATTAGGCAATGAGCCTAAAACCTCTTCCGTATTTGGCTTTCTGTGAGCATGAGATCATATAGAAAATGTGAAAGCCCGCTGAATCCTCCAGCACAGATCCTGGAATACACAAAGTGCTCTGTTCATCACAAAAAAAACATGCCCTCTCACCCAAATCCCCCACCTCACCCCTACTTCCAATCATCTGTGGAGATTCAGATAGACCATGGGGAGGTAAATTCTAATACTCCTTGGAGTGAGTCCAGATCTTGGAATCAGAGATCAGCGTCAGCACTAGCTCCTGCTCCCCTTTCCTACTAATTCACAGGAGGACAGGTGGTATTGAAGCAATAGATGGCCGAGGGGGTGGTCCTTCCCCCAGCCTCTGGGGTAGAACAGCAGCCTAACATGTGTCTCCGGAGATCACAAAGAGTAGCACGTTTCACATGGGCTTCAACACTGTTTCCTGGCCATTTGACATAAGAGAATTCTACTTCGCTTTTTTTATCTTGATTTCACTTTTGTTTCCTTTTCTTGGAGAATGCAAGTTGTTTGACTCAAGAATGCCCTGGATGTAGAAATCCTAAAGCACATTCGCTGTGTATCAATCCCAGTGCAGTCTTCCCAGAGAAGACTCTAAACACCTCCTGGACTGCACCTGGGCCTATGCCAATTCCTATCACTCACCGTCACTCCAGGGAGACAGAACACACAGAGAATACATTACACAGGCAGGTTCATTACTAACAGATAAGCAGCGAGTGACAACAGAAGCCTACATTTCAATGTGAGCCAGTCCCTCAAGGCTCAGAAAAGCTGCTCGGGACATATGGAGTCACCCCATTTGCAGTGTAGCTGGGGGAAGCCAGAAAGCAGCCCAGCCTGGGTTTTGTACCCTGGAGCCACAGGAAGCACTCAGCTAAAGCACTGCATGACGCCTTCCTCCAGGAAGAACAGGAAGACAGCCCAGGCTGTTCTGAGACATTCCTCCTGATCTCAGTACGTTGCTGTCGTAGTTTTTTTTTGTTGCTCTAAAGGAAAACTTGAGCCTCGGTAACTTCTAAAGAAAAGAGATCGGTTTGCCTCACCGTTCTGCAGGCTGTACTGGAAGCATGGTACCAGAATCTATTTCTTGTGACGGCCTCAGGCTGCTCCCACTCTGGCAGAAGGGAAGGAGGGTCTGTCTGTGCAGAGACCGCAGAGATCACACGGCAAGAGAGAGAGTAAGGGGGAGGGGGAGCGATGGAGCTTCCAAGCTCTTTTGAACAACCAGCTCTCCAGGAACTAATAGAGGGGGAACTTGCTAACCCCGTCTCCTTGGGACAGCATTGTTCTGTTCATGATGGATCCACCTCCATGACCCAAACACCTCCCAAGAGGCCCAACCTCCCACACTGGGGGTGAAATTTCCATGTGAGGTTTGAAGGGGTCAGACATCTCAACTAAAGTAGTTGTATCCTCAGCACGTTCTATGGTTACTATGAGAGCTATAACTGAGAAAGCAGGGGAAAGCTAGGTCTCCCACCATTTGGGTGCTTGTCCTAAAGAGACGTTGTATGTGGTTACCTGTCAATCAAGAAATGCGAGACAATTCATAAAGAGGAACTGCTATGATTAGCTTCTTATTGGTGTCTCCTCTTCTTCCAGGTAACCCCAGACACCTACACGTTCTGATTGGGACCTCAGTGGTCAAACTCCCTTTCACCATCCTCCTCTTCTTTCTCCTTCATCGCTGGTGCTCCGACAAAAAAAGTAAGTCTCACGAAGCAGAGGCCAGAGAGCTCAGGGCCATGTGGGGAAGCAGGATGTTAGCACGTGGGTGTGTGTTCCTCACAGGCAGGATGGTCCCTGGCCCAAGACAGGAGCCACAGAGGCAGGACTTTCTAGAGAGAGCACCAGACTCCCTGCCCCTGCCTTCAGCTCACAGACCATTGCCTGATTCTGAACTGTACCCTCACGTCCCCTGCAGCCACTCACATCCAGGAGAAGGTTCCATGACAGGCAGAAAGTGGGAGATAGAATCAATGGGATGGGAACTCAGAGCTATTCATGGGATGGGTCCTTGAGCTCAGAGAGATAGAATGTCTGAGTCTGCTGTTGGCAACTGAGGGACCTCAGGCACCTATGGCCTCCCCCTGTTTGTTGGTATCTGCTTATGAAATGAGGACCCAGAAGTGCCCTCCGAGCTGTTTTGTTGACTTCCATCTTCTACAGATGCATCTGTAATGGACCAAGGGCCTGCGGGGAACAGAACAGTGAACAGGGAGGTAGGTGCTCCTCGGCCCAGCCTCGTGGCTAGTCTTATTCCCAAAGAGTCCTGAAAAATGTGAGCACCCTCCCTCACTCAGCATTTCCCTCTCTCCAGGATTCTGATGAACAGGACCATCAGGAGGTGTCATACGCATAATTGGATCACTGTGTTTTCACACAGAGAAAAATCACTCCCCCTTCTCAGAGGCCCAAGACACCCCCAACAGATAGCAGCATGTACATAGAACTTCCAAATGCTGAGTCCAGATCCAAAGCTGTCTTCTGTCCACGAGCACCACAGTCAGGCCTTGAGGGGATCTTCTAGGGAGACAACAGCCCTGTCTCAAAACCGGGTTGCCAGCTCCCATGTACCAGCAGCTGGAATCTGAAGGCATCAGTCTTCATCTTAGGGCATCGCTCTTCCTCACACCACGAATCTGAACATGCCTCTCTCTTGCTTACAAATGTCTAAGGTCCCCACTGCCTGCTGCAGAGAAAACACACTCCTTTGCTTAGCCCACAATTCTCCATTTCACTTGACCCCTGCCCACCTCTCCAACCTAACTGGCTTACTTCCTAGTCTACTTGAGGCTGCAATC
Source organism: Homo sapiens (assembly GCF_000001405.40). Taxonomy (NCBI): domain Eukaryota; kingdom Metazoa; phylum Chordata; class Mammalia; order Primates; family Hominidae; genus Homo; species Homo sapiens. Next base: position 160,744 of record NW_016107303.1, read on the forward strand.
ACACTGAGGAACTCACAATTCCAAACATACAAGAGGCTCCCTCTTAACACGGCACTTAGACACGTGCTGTTCCACCTTCCCTCATGCAGTTCCACCTCCCCTCAGACTATCTTTCAGCCTTCTGTCAGCAGTAAAACTTATAAATTGTTTTTAGTAATTTCAATGTAGTTTTCCCTCCTTCAAATAAACATGTCTGCCCTCATCGTTTCGGTAATGGGACTCTTTTCTTTCCTAAGGCTTCCGGTGTTATCATTACCATGTCCACATAACCCCATCTGTTCTCCACTGGGTTCTCACCCCTGGACTCTGAGCTTCTGGAACAGGGTGGACCCTGACTTGTCTCTGAGACTCCAATTTCCATCCAAAGATGCAGCACATAGGAAGTTCCAAGGATCGTGAATCACATGAACAAGTGATATTCTTACTCTCTGCAGACCTGGAAAGCTGGCAGAGTCATTCCATGATGAAACATTTGTAGAGTCATAGGCCTTGTTAGTCTCATCTCCACGGGGACACATGTCAACGCATCATCTTTCATACTATAAATATACAGTCGCTCCTCCGTATCTGTGGGGTTTACAGGTGTTTATTGAACCAAGTATAAATCAAAAATATTCAGAGAAAAAGCCCACAAAGTTCCAAAAAGCAAAACTGTGTTGAATGCACACAAATGAGGTGGTGTATAGGCTGTATCAGGAATTATAAGTAATCAAGAGATGATTTCATGTATACAGGAGGATGTGCATGGGTTATATCCAAATGCTGTGTCATTTTACGTAAGAGGCTTGAGCATCTGCAGATTTTAGTATCTGAGTGGAGATCTCGAAACCAATCACCCATGAATAGTGAAGGATGACGGTATAGGACTTTTATTTCTCAAATTTAAATATAAATCATAAAAAATGTACAATAACTAGATAAAAACTAAGAAGTGTTTTTATAGTGTGAGAATAAGTTTAGATTTATTATTTCCTATGTGTAACCCTTTGGTTTAATATTATTTATTGAGAAGACATTCTATGCCACCTTAAACCACACGGCAGCTTTGTCAACTAAAAAGGGACTGTGTGTACACGGATGTGTATTTTAGACACTGTCTCTGCTAAACGGCTCTCTGTGTCCACATTCTTGAGGATGCTCCACTTTATGTAGCCCCATAGAACCCTTTAAATTTAGTAGCCAGAGGCCTCTAATTTGTTATTATAGGCTATTTGCTATTTTTATTTTCTTGAGGCGGAGTCTTGCTCTGTCGCCCAGGCTGGACTGCAGTGGTGCAATCTCAGCTCACTGCAACCTCCGCCTCCCAGGTTCAAGCGATTCTCGTGCCTCAGCCTCTTGGGTAGCTGGCGTTACAAGTTCCTGCCACTGGGCACGGCTAATTTTTGGATTTTTAGCAGAGACACGGTTTCACTGTGTTGCCAGGCTGCTCTCAAACTCCTTATATCAGTTGATCCGCCCACCTCGGCTTCCCGACGTGCTGGGGGAAACTTGATTTTCTATAGCATTATGTTACTGGATATTTCTGTAAAATTTAAAATGAGGGAGGCAGAGAGACAGAGAGAGAACAAACTCCAGAGTTGGGACTCTGGAAACTTGGGTCATGAGACAAATTTTAGATAAATCTACAAAAATCCAGAGTTTAAATGTGTGGTTTTTGCTGATAACGTACAATTCAAAGATTGTAAATAATTGCATAATCCTTCCCTGGGAATTTAAATCATTTTAACTGGTTCTGCTGTAATACTAGAAATACAAGCATGAAAAATTCTAATGGTTTATTAGTCACAATGACTCTGAAAACCTTAATAATACCTATTAGATATTTTGCATATTACACATGAAGAAGAGTTTGAATCTCAGATAAAAACAATAAAAATACATGAAAAGTCTTTCACGTTAGCACAGATTTTAGGCATCTCGTGTTCAGGAGGTTGGATCTGAGACGTGTTTTGAGTTGGTCATAGTGAAGGACGCTAGGTGTAAATTCTAGTGAGAACAATTTCCAGGAAGCCGTGTTCCGCTCTTGAGCGAGCACCCACTGGGCCTCATGCAAGGTAGAATGAGCCTGCGTACGTCACCCTCCCATGATGTGGTCAACATGTAAACTGCATGGGCAGGGCGCCAAATAACATCCTGTGCGCTGCTGAGCTGAGCTGGGGCGCGGCCGCCTGTCTGCACCGGCAGCACCATGTCGCTCACGGTCGTCAGCATGGCGTGTGTTGGTGAGTCCTGGAAGGGAATAGAGGAAGGGAGTGTGGGGTTGGAGATCTGGGCCCAGAGGTGGAGATATAGGCCTGGAGGTGGAGTTGTGGGCCTGGAGTGGAGATCTGGGCCTGGAGTGGATATATGGGCCTAGAGATGGAGTGATGGGCCTAGAAGTGGAGATCTGGGCCTGGAGTGCCGATAGGAACCTGGAGGGGAGATAGGAGCCTGGAGTGGAGATATGGGCCTGGAGGTGGAGTTATAGGCCTATAGTAGAGATATGGGCCTGGAGTGGAGATTTGGGCCAGGAGTGGAGATATGGGCCTAGAGGTGGATATCTGGGCCTAGAGTGGAAATATGGGCCTAGGATGGAGATATGGGCCTGGTTGTGGAGATATGGGACTGGAGAGGAGATATGGGCCTAGAGTGGAGATATGGGCTTGGGGTGGAGATCTGGGCCTGGGGTGGAGATATGGGCCTGGAGGTGGAGTTACGGGCCTTCAGTAGAGATATGGGCCTGGGGTGGAGATATGGGCTTGGGGTGGAGATCTGGGCCTGGAGTGGAGATATGGGCCTGGAGGTGGAGTTACTGGCCTTCAGTAGAGATATGGGCCTGGTGTGGAGATATGGGCCTGGATTGGAGATATGGGCCTAGGGTGGAGATCTGAGCCTGGAGTGGAGATATGGGCCTGGATTGGAGATATGGGCTTACAGTGAAGATCTTGGCCTGGATTGGCGATATGGGCCTGGATTGGCGATATGGGCCTATGATGGAAATATCGGCCTGGAGTGGAGATATGGGCCTGGAGTGGAGATACAGGCCTAGGGTGGAAATATTGGCCTGGAGTGGAGATATGGGCTTCTGGTGGGGATATGGGCTTGTGGTGGGGATCTGGGCTTGGAGGCTGGGTCTCTGCACAGCCGACAGCCCTGTTCTTGGGTGCAGGTAGGCACTGAGGGTGAGTTTAACTTCAGCCCAGGAAGGGCCTGCCTACCAAGACTCACAGCCCAGTGAGGGCAGCAAGGGAGGGCTGGTTCGCCTGCAGATGGATGGTCCATCATGATCTTTCTTTCCAGGGTTCTTCTTGCTGCAGGGGGCCTGGCCACATGAGGGTGAGTCCTTCTCCAAACCTTCGGGTGTCATCTCCCCACATAAGAGGATTTTCCTGAAACAGGAGGGAAGTCCTGTCGGGGAGCCTCTCATAAACTAGGAAGAGGGGACCCTGGGGTGCTCGGCCCACAGTTCCGACCTCGCCTCCCTGGCCTTTCATTCCCTTGGCAGAGTCAAGTTCTGTGGGGACCAGGGTTAGACTGGGGTGCTCAAAGCTGGGGTGTGTGGTGGGGAAGTGGTAGGAACAGCAGATCCTCTGAGGACAAAGGTGTTACTCACACTTCAGCGTTTCCATGACGGTAGGGGCTGCAGTGTGGCTGCTGTCACTCCACCAGAAGAGGTGGGAAACCACAGCCATGGCCCTGACATTCCAAATCCTCTGATGGGGGCTCAGTTGCTTATTTTCATTCAGGCATCGGCTGATATTCCATTCTCAAAGGACATGCCCTCCACCCCATGTCTACCCTGTGTTGTTTTATGTGAGTAATCTTACAGTATTAAAATCTAGTAGGAGTCTCTTACTCAGCACTTGCTCAAAGTTCTCAGCTGACACTTTTGTTGTAGGGAGACACCTTGTGTTTGCGGGATGGGTCCTTCCTTTAGCCCTGGGCACCAAGGTGTGATAGCAGCCATAGAAACTTGGAAAGCGAGGAGAATCTTCAGAGCACAGGGAGGGAGGGGTGGCTCCACATCCTCCTCTCTAAGGCGGTGCCTCCTTCTCCCCAAGGTGGTCAGGACAAGCCCTTGCTGTCTGCCTGGCCCAGCTCTGTGGTGCCTCCAGGACATGTGATTCTTCGGTGTCATTCTTATCTTGGGTTTAACAACTTCAGTCTGTAAAAGGAAGATGGGGTGCCTGGCACTGAGCTCTACAACAGAATATTCTGGAAGAGCCTTTTCATGGGCCCTGTGACCCCAGCACACACAGGGACGTACAGATGTCGGGGTTCACACCCACACTCCCCCAGTGGGTGGTCGGCACCCAGCAACCCCCTGGTGATCATGGCCACAGGTCAGAGGGCTCCTGTCTTGGATTCTCCTTTCCCACCTCCTGAATCCCAGAGCTTCTGGTGGGCGTGTCCTTGAGGGTCCCATCACCCAGGCCCTGACTATATTTGGGGTAAAGGGGGATTGAATACAGGGAAATGGGTGCTGTGGTGGGAAGAATAATTGTCCCCAGTGATGACTACATTCTAATCCCTGGAGTCTGTGACTATTTATGTTATAGGGGAAGGAACTGAAGGGGAAGATGGAGCTCAGGTTGTTGATGAGTTGACCTTGAGATGGGGAGACAGCCTGGACTGTCCCGCTGGGCTCAGTGTAATCACAAGGGTCCACATGAAAGGAGGAGGAAGAGGGGAGTGGGGATTAGAGCAGCGCAATGGGAGACTCCACCAGCTTTGAAGGTGGAGGAAGTCCAGGAGCCATGAATGCAGGTGGCCTGTAGAGGCTGGAAAAGTCAAGGAAATGATTCTCCAGAGTCTCCAGAGGGAACGAAGCCCTGCAGATGCCTTGATTTTAGCCCAGGAAAAACAGGGTCCTATTTCTGTCTCCAGTAGTGAAATGGGTCAGTGTGCTCTCTCCTGCTGCCATGCTGCTGATAATTTTCTACAGCAGCAACAGGAAACCAACACTGGAACCCAGGTCAAGGACAAGTTAAGAAACAACACAAGGATAGCCGGGTGTGGTGGCAGGCGCATGTAATCCTAGCGACTTGGGAGGCTGAGGGCAGGAGAATCACTTGAACCCAGGAGACAGAAGTTGCAGTGACCCTAGACCACACCACTTCACTCCAGCTGGGGTGAAGGAGTGAGACTCTGATCTCCATAATTAATTAATTAATTAAAGGAACCAAACAAGGGGAAGGTTGGCTACACCTAGATCAGCAAGTGTGGGATGATGATGCCACCACCAGGCTCCATCCACATAGGGAGGGGTTGATACTCCTCAAACCAGCACCAGGAGCCAGCCTATGGAAGCTGGCACCATGGAGAAGGCACAGGCATGGCAAGAGTGGCTCCCAGTCCCGACCAGGAACAGGGTGTGTGGACACTGCTGCCTGCCTTATTCATCAGTTCATACCTCCTGCCAAGGATTCCAATTCATCCAAAAGAGATTGAACCAGGCTGATAAGAGGCTGGATGTGCAGCCTATCCTGGTTCCTCTTTCACCCCCACATAAACAGCAGGAAAGACATTAGTGTGAAATAGATACAACACCCCAAGAGATGAGGCTAAGCCCAGTGGGAAGGGAATCAGAGGCGACTAGAGACAGAGAGACAGAGAAGAGGGAGGGAGACAGATGGAAGGACCTGCACCAGGAGTTATGGGCACAGAAAAGAACATGAAGACACAGAGAGGAAGGAGAGAGACAGACACCAGCAAGGGGAAGCCTCACTCATTCTAGGTGCCATGGATGGGATGATAAAGAGAGACACCTTCTAAACTCACAACCTCTCTTCCTAGGAGTCCACAGAAAACCTTCCCTCCTGGCCCACCCAGGTCCCCTGGTGAAATCAGAAGAGACAGTCATCCTGCAATGTTGGTCAGATGTCAGGTTTGAGCACTTCCTTCTGCACAGAGAGGGGACATTTAACGACACTTTGCACCTCACTGGAGAGCACCATGATGGGGTCTCCAAGGCCAACTTCTCCATCGGTCCCATGATGGAAGACCTGGCAGGGACCTACAGATGCTACGGTTCTGTTACTCACTCCCCCATCAGTTGTCAGCTCCCAGTGACCCTCTGGACATCGTCATCACAGGTGAGAGTGTCCGGACATTCTTCTCATTGTCATTGGGATGCAGAGTGAATGATCCACGACTTGGAACCCCCAGGTAGTTGTAAGGAAGATGAGCTTGGTATTCTTATGGAGAGAGACTGACTTGGTGAGGTCTGTACCAACAGAGACAGAGAAACAGGAGACACAAGTACAGACCAGGTGTCATAACAGAGGACAGACACAGGGGCCATACCGGGAGTTAGAAAAGACAGAAGGAGTTAAAGGAGACAGACAGACAGACATGTCCCAGAGAGAGGTGTCCCTCCATGCTGACTTTGCTCAGAGACCTGGCACAGGTTAGAAGTTTCATTTCTGTTTTACCTCCACAAAGTGTTCTCTACCAGGAGAACCCAAGGACACCCATATTTCTGACCTGAGTTGGGCCCTGTGGCCTCAGGCCTTGTGGCACCTACAGATGCCGTGTTTATTCTCACACCTCTGCCTTCCATGTAATGGAGAGTAACCGTCCCAGGATATCATGGCCCCAGAACACCAACCCCTGTATGCTGTGTGAACTTGTGGTCTCCAGACTGGATTCTGAGGCTCACATTCCAAATAACCCCACATATGAAAGGATCACTGAGAGGCACAGAGAGAAATCAGGGACACCAAAAAGCAAAGACATAAACACACAGAGAATGAGCCAGAGGAAGGAGATTGAGAGACTCACAGACACATAAAGAGAGAGAAAAGAGGGCAGAGGAGTGGTGAGAATGATGGAAGGGAGCAGAGAAAAGCACTAAAATTAGAGTCCTGAGGGAGAGGCACAAGGACATAGAAAGATGGAGATGTGGGGATGAATTGCAGAGATTCCAAAGAGAACTAGAGAGACCGAGAGGCAGAGCAAGACAGATGATAGATGGTTAGATATAGATAGATGATAAATAGGTAGATGATAGATAATAGGTTAAAGATACATAGATGATGATTGATTGATTCATTAATAGATGAGACATAGAGATGATGATGATGAAGACAGATAGATAATACATAGAGATAGAGAGGCAGACAGAAGTCATAGAGAGAGAGATGATACATAGATATAGATAACAGATGATTGATGGATAGATAGACAAGTGATAGATACATAGATGATATATAGATATAGATGACAGGTAGAGAATTTGTAGATAGGCACCGAATAGATAAATAGATAGATCGACAGATAATAGATAGAAATATGCAGAAAGTTATGAACAGGACACAAAGTGAGAAACTTAGAATTTAAAAAAGTAACATCAAGTGAACCAATCCAAGGAGAGTCAGAGAGAATAAAACAATCCAAAAAGGGAAAACATATCTAGAGGTGTGGAAGCGAGGTCAGAGACCTAGAGAGACAGAGAAGGTGGAAGGAGGAAATAGACATGAAGAGAGATGGGGTGGAGGGTGAGAGAGAGAGAGAGAGAGCATTAGGTCATAGAGCAGGGGAGTGAGTTCTCAGCTCAGGTGAAGGGAGCTGTGACAAGGAAGAGCCTCCGTAAGGAAAATGCCTCTTCTCCTTCCAGGTCTATATGAGAAACCTTCTCTCTCAGCCCAGCCGGGCCCCACGGTTCTGGCAGGAGAGAGCGTGACCTTGTCCTGCAGCTCCCGGAGCTCCTATGACATGTACCATCTATCCACGGAGGGGGAGGCCCATGAACGTAGGTTCTCTGCAGGGACCAAGGTCAACGGAACATTCCAGGCTGACTTTCCTCTGGGCCCTGCCACCCACGGAGGAACCTACAGATGCTTCGGCTCTTTCCGTGACTCTCCCTACGAGTGGTCAAACTCGAGTGACCCACTGCTTGTTTCTGTCACAGGTGAGGAAAGCCCATGGCTGTCCCATGTCCTATGATCCTAGAGCCTTAGCTGAGGAGCTTCCTGCTGAGGATGGAGAGAAGGATGAACAGATGCAGAGAGAAGACGAAGCTTGGGTGTGAGGGAGGGATCAGGGCACAGGATGGCAGACAGGGCACCTCCAAACCCTCCTACATGGCCTGCATGAAGGCCTGCGGCCAGGACTCCAGGCACCCAGGCAGATGGAGAAAGCGGTCAGGAGAGACCCAGAGGAGGGAGACTGGGCTCAGTTTGGGAAGATCAGAGGTTCCCTCAGCCCCTCAACATTACCCATTTCCCAGAAGCCCATCCTGGCCTCCCACCCACACAGGGATGTCATCACCTGCAACCCCTACACCGTTTACTTTTGTTTGAGAAATATTTATTGAGGATAAATATAACTATATAGCTTACCACCTTTAACATTTTTTTTTTTGAGGCGGAGTCTAGCTCTGTCCCCTATGCTGGAGTGCATTGGCACAATCTCAGCTCACTGCAACTTCCGCCTCCTGGGTTCAAGCGATTCTCTTGCCTCAGCCACCTGAGTAGCTGGTGCTACAGGCGCGCACCACCATGCCAGGCTACTTTTTGTATTTTTAGTAGAGAGGGGGTTTCACCATGTTGGTCAAGCTGGTCTCGAACTCCTGACCACGTGATCCACCCGCATCTGCCTCCCAAAGTGCTGGGATTACAGGCATGAGCCACCACGCCCAGCCACATTTACCATTTTTAAGTGTAAAGTCTAGTGGTCATAAATACATTAATATATATATATATACACATATATTTTTTTTTACCCTCCACCCTTTTCTTCCTGGCCTCTGGTAGCCACCATTCTACTCTCTACCTTCATGAGATCCACCTTTTAGCTCCTGTATATGGGTAAGAAATGGGAATCTTTGTAATGACCTCCAGTTCCATCCATGTGGCTGCAAATATCAGGATGTTATTCTTTCTATGGAAGAGTAGTCTCCACTATGCAAATGTACCACATTCTCTCTATCCATTCACCCACTGATGGGCAGGTAGGTTGACTCCACATCTTGGCTACTGTGAAGAGTGCTGCACCAATCATACGAGTGCAGATATCACTTCGATATATTGATTTACTTTCCTTTGGATATAAACCCAGTAGTGAAATTGCTGGATACTATGAAAGTTCTCTTTTTAGTTTTTCGTTTGTTGTTTTGTTTTTGTTTTTGAGACAGTTTCCCTCTGTGCCAGGCTGGAGTACAAGTGATATGATCTTGGCTCATTGCAACCTCTGCCTCCTGGGTTCAAATGATTTTCCTGCCTCAGCCTCCCTAGTATCAGGGATTATAGGCGCACGCCACCATGCCTGGCTACTTTTTGTTTTTTTTAGTATAGATGCGGTTTCCCCATGTTGGCTGGGCTGCTCTCAAACTCATGACCTCAACTGAGGTGCCCGCCTCGGTCTCCCAAAGTGCCGGGATTACAGGCCTGATCCACCTCACCCAACCTCTTTTTAGTTCTTTAAAGGACTTCCACACTTTTCTCCGTAATGGCTGTACTAATTTACACTCCTCCCAACAGGATACCAGGATTCTCCTTTCTCTAACACCTTGCCAGCATTTCTTTTGCCTGTCTTGCAGCTAAAAGCCATTTTATTTTATTTCATTTTATTTTGAGATGGAGTTTCGCTCTTGTCACCCAGGCTGAGTGCAGTGGTGCGATCTCGGCTCACCGCAACCTCCACCTCCCAGGTTCAAGCGATTCTCCTGCCTCAGCCTCCCGAGTAGCTGGAATTACAGGCACACGCCACCACGCCCGACTAATTTTTGTATTTTTAGTAGAGACAGTGTTTCTCCATGTGGGTCAGACTGGTCTCAAACTCCCGACCTTATGAGATTCACCCACCTCAGGCTCTCAAAGTTCTAGGATGACAGACGTGAGCCACCTCACCCGGCCTAAAAGCCATTTTAATGGGGTGAGATGAAAACTCACTTTGATTTTAATTTGCGTTTCTCTGATGATGAGTGATACTGAGCACTTTTTAGTATGTGGGGAAATTTCATGTCTTTTGCTCCTGTTTCAATTAAATCATTTGTTTTATTGAGTTGTTTGAGCTTCTTATATTTCTAGTTATTAATCCCATCTCAGATGCATAGTTTGCACATATTTGCTCCCAATCTGTGGGTTGTCTCTTCACTTTGTTGGTTTATTTTTAGCAGTGCAGAAGTTGCTTAGTTTGAGGTAATCCCAATGGTCTATTTTTGCTTCGATTACTTGTGTTTTCAAGGTTTAAAACAAAATGTCTTCCCTCAGACAAACGTCCTGGAGCATTTCCCCAATATTTTCTTCTACGTGTTTCATAGGTTCAGGCCTTAGACTCACATCTTTAATCCATTTTCATTTGATTTTTGTGTATAGTGACAGGCAGAGGTGCAGTTTCATTCCTCTGCATGTAGATGTCCAGGTTTCCCTGCACTGTTTATTGAAAAGACTGTCCTTTCCTGATTGTGAGTTCTTGGCACCTTTGTCAAAGTCCATTGGATGGGCTGGGCATGGTGGCTAACACCAGCAACTTCAGCACTTTGGGAGGCCAAGGCTGGTGGATCACCTGAGGACAGGAGTACAAGATTACTCTGGCCGACGTGATGAAACATCGTCTCCACTAAAAATATAAAAATTAGCTGAGCATGGTGGTCAGCACCTGTAATACCACTACTCAGGAGTTTGAGGCCAGAGAAGTGATTGAACCCAGGAGGCTGTGGTGGCAGTGAACCGAGATTGCACCTCTGCACTCCAGCCTGGGTGACAGAGCAAGACTCCATCTCAAAAGAAAAACAAAAAATACATTGGAGGTAAATGCATGGATTATATCTGTGTTATTCATTCTGCTCCGTTGTTCTATGTGCCTTTCTTCATGCCAATGTCATGCTGTCTTGCTTACTACAGCTCTGCAACATATTTTGAGATCAGGTAGTGTGATGCTCCTGTTTTCTCTTTATACCTTGAAGTCTCAAGACAGTAGCCGTCACATACAAAAATTACGGAAAAAAGGATCCCAGGACTCCCAGGGCCCAATATTAGATAACAGAGTGTTGGCCATGAACCAACCTCAAAGATTTCCACTGAGTAGAGGACAGACACCCTCATTTCCTCACCTCTCTCCTGTCTCGTGTTCTAGGAAACCCTTCAAATAGTTGGCCTTCACCCACTGAACCAAGCTCCGAAACCGGTGAGTACAGAACCCTCTTATATCCGCTTTTGGAAACCTGGGGAGGTGGAAACCTTGGATTCAGGCGTTGACTCAGCATCTCACAGCTCTGACATTGTACGCCTGTCTTCTACCATCTCCGAACTCCAGATACTCCAACAGCGAAAGGGATCTGGACCCAAAACAGGGCTGAGTGAAATCTCTTAATCTCTCATTTTATGGAGCTGAGATCTCCTACAAGCTAGAAAAATGATTGGCAATCTGACATCCTTCTCAGGAAAAATGCAATGTTTGTTCTGCCTGCATTCCTAACTGGAGGATAAATTCCTGGGGGCTTGAGAGAGGGAAGGGTAGGGAACATTTGATGAGGGCGAGGTGTTTTAGAGAAGTTCCACTTGCCCAGGAATGAATTACTGTTGGTCATGAAGCAACCCTGGCTGACTCAGCAGAGCAAGAGCTTTGCCTTAACAGAGAACGGAGCTCATGCACGCACACTTCGACTCACTGACTCATTCAGCCACGGCCCCATGCTCAGGCCGTGGAAAAGGCAATTCCCAGCACTGCAGGAGGCCAAGGCGGGTGGATCACTTGAAGTCAGGAGTTCCAGACCAGCCTGGCCAAAATGGTGAAACCCTGTCTCTATGAAAAATACAAAAATTAGTCGAGCATGGTGGTGCATCCCTGTAATCCCAGCTCCTACTCTTGAGGATGAAGCAGGAGAATGACTTCAACCCAGGAGGTGGAGGTTGCAGTGAGTGGAGATTGCATCACTGCACTCCAGCCTGGGTGACACAAGGAGACTCCGTCTCAAAAAATAAAAATAAGAAATGCATAAATATAATAAAACACACACGAATGACAAAGGCACCTGAATTCCAATCATCATTTTTGTATTTCTCTATAATTACTTCTTTGATCCTTTGTCTTATCCATTAGGCAATGAGCCTAAAACCTCTTCCGTATTTGGCTTTCTGTGAGCATGAGACCATATAGAAAATGTGAAAGCCCGCTGAATCCTCCAGCACAGATCGTGGAATAGAGAAAGTGCTCTGTTCATCACAAAAAAAACTTGCCGTCTCACTCAAATCCCCCACTTCACCCCTACTTCCAATCACCTGTGGAGATTCAGATAGACCATGGGGAGGTAAACATTAATACTCCTTGGAGTGAGTCCAGATCTTGGAATGAGAGATCAGCACCAGCACTAGCTCCTGCTCCCCTTTCCTACTAATTCACAGGAGGACAGGTGGTATTGAAGCAATAGATGGTGGAGGGGGTGGTCCTTCCCCCAGCCTCTCAGGTAGAACAGCAGCCTAACATGTGTCTCCCGAGATCACAAAGAGTAGGACGTTTCACAGGGGCTTCAACACGATTTCCTGGCTGTTGGACATAAGATAACTCTATTTCGCTTTTTTATCTTGATTTCACTTTTGTTTCCTTTCCTTGGAGAACGCAAGTTGTTTGACTCAAGAATGCTGTGGATGTAGAAATCCTAAAGCACATTCGCTGTGTGTCAATCCCAGTGCAGTCTTCCCAGAAAAGACCCTAAACACCTCCTAGACTGCACCTGGGCCTACGCCAATTCCTATCACTCACCGTCACTCCAGGGAGACAGAACACACAGAGAATACGTTACATAGGCAGGTTCATTACTAACAGATAAGCAGCGAGTGAAAACAGAAGCCTACATTTCAATGTGAGCCAGTCCCTCAAGGCTCAGAAAAGCTGCTCGGGACATATGGAGTCACCCCATTTGCAGTGTAGCTGGGGGAAGCCAGAAAGCAGCCCAGCCTGGGTTTTGTACCCTGGAGCCACAGGAAGCACTCAGCTAAAGCACTGCATGACGTCCTCCTCCAGGAAGAACAGGAAGACAGCCCAGGCTGCTCTGGGACGTTCCTCCTGATCTCAGGACGTTGCTGTCTTAGTCCATTTTTGTTGCTCTAAAGGAACACTTGAGCCTGGGCAACTTCTAAAGAAAAGAGATTGGTTTGTCTCACCGTTCTGCAGGCTGTACTGGAAGCATGGCACCAGCATCTATTTCTCGTGATGGCCTCAGGCTGCTCCCACTCTGGCAGAAGGGAAGGAGGGTCTGTCTGTGCAGAGACCACAGAGATCACACGGCAAGAGAGGGAGCAAGGGGGAGGGGGAGTGATGGAGCTTCCAAGTTCTTTTGAACAACCAGCTCTCCAGGAACTAATAGAGGGGGAACTTGCTAACCCCGTCTCCTTGGGACAGCATTGATCTGTTCATGATGGATCCACCTCCATGACCCAAACACCTCTCAAGAGGCCCAACCTCCCACAATGGGGGTGAAATTTCAATGTGAGGTTTGAAGGGGTCAAACATCTCAACTAAAGTAGTTGTATCCTCAGCACATTCTATGGTTACTTTGAGAGCTATAACTGAGAAAGCAGGAGAAAGCTGGGTCTCCCGCCATCTGGGTGCTTGTCCTAAAGAGGTGTATTACGTGGTTACCTGTCAATCAAGAAATGCGAGACAATTCATAAAAAGGAACTGCTATGATTAGCTTCTTATTGGTGTCTCATCTTCTTCCAGGTAACCCAAGACACCTGCACGTTCTGATTGGGACCTCAGTGGTCATCATCCTCTTCATCCTCCTCCTCTTCTTTCTCCTTCATCGCTGGTGCTCCAACAAGAAAAGTAAGTCTTACGAAGGAGAGGCCAGAGAGCTCCGGGCCATGTGGGGAAGCAGGATGGGAGCACTCAGGTGTGTGTTCCTCACAGGTAGGATGGTCCCTGGCCCAAGGCAGCAGCCACAGAGGCAGGACTTTCTAGAGAGGGCACCAGACTCCCTGTCCCTGCCTTCAGCTCACAGACCGTTGCCTGATTCTGAACTGTATCCTCACGTCCCCTGCAGCCACTCACATCCAGGAGAAGGTTCCATGACAGGCAGAAAGTGGGAGACAGAATCAATGGGATGGGAACTCAGAGCTATTCATGGGATGGGTCCTTGAGCTCAGAGAGATAGAATGTCTGAGTCTGCTGTTGGCAACTGAGGGACCTCAGGCTCCTATGGCCTCCCCCTGTTTGTTGGTATCTGCTTATGAAATGAGGACCCAGAAGTGCCCTCCGAGCTCTTTTGTTGACTTCCGTCTCCTACACATGCTGCTGTAATGGACCAAGAGCCTGCAGGGAACAGAACAGCGAATAGCTAGGTAGGTGCTCCTCGGCCCAGCCTCGTGGCTAGTGTTATTCCCAAACAGTCCTGGAAAATGTGAGCACCCTCCCTCACTCAGGATTTCCCTCTCTCCAGGACTCTGATGAACAAGACCCTCAGGAGGTGACATACGTACAGTTGGATCACTGCGTTTTCACACAGAGAAAAATCACTCGCCCTTCTCAGAGGCCCAAGACACCCCCAACAGATACCAGAGTGTACACGGAACTTCCAAATGCTGAGTCCAGATCCAACGTTGTCTCCTGCCCATGAGCACCACAGTCAGGCCTTGAGGGGATCTTCTAGGGAGACAATAGCCCTGTCTCAAAACCGGGTTGCCAGCTCCCATGTACCAGCAGCTGGAATCTGAAGGCGTGAGTCTGCATCTTAGGGCATCGCTCTTCCTCACACCACAAATCTGAATGTGCCTCTCTCTTGCTTACAAATGTCTAAGGTCCCCACTGCCTGCTGGAGAGAAAACACACTCCTTTGCTTAGCCCACAATTCTCCATTTCACTTGACCCCTGCCCACCTCTCCAACCTTACTGGCTTACTTCCTAGTCTACTTGAGGCTGCAATCACACTGAGGAACTCACAGTTCCAAACATACAAGAGGCTCCCTCTTAACACGGCACTTAGACACGTCCTGTTCCACCTTCCCTCATGCTGTTCCACCTCCCCTCAGAGTATCTTTCAGCCTTCTGTCAGCAGTAAAACTTATATATTTTTTAAAATAATTTCAATGTAGTTTTCCCTCCTTCAAATAAACATGTCTGCCCTCATGGTTTCGGTAATGGGACTCTTTTCTTGCCTAAGACTTCCAGTGTTATCATTACCATGTCCACATAACCCCATCTGTTCTCCACTGGGTTCTCACCCCCGGACTCTGAGTTTCTGGAAGCAGGGTGGAGCCTCATTTGTCTCTGGGACTCCTATTTCCATCCAAAGATGTAGCACATAGGAGGTTCCAAGGATCGTGAATCACATGAACAAGTGATATTCTTACTCTCTGCAGACCTGGAAATCTGGCAGAGTCATTCCAAGATGAAACATTTGTAGAGTCATAGGCCTTGTTAGTCTCATCTACACAGGGACACATATCAACACATCATCTTTCACACTATAAATATACAGTCACTCCTCCATATCTGTGGGGTTTACAGTTCTTTATTGAACCGAGTATAAATCAAAAATATTCAGAGAAAGTATCCACAGAGTTACAAAAAGCAGAACTGTGTTGAATGGACACAAATGAAGCTGTGTGTAGGCTGCATCAGGAATTATAAGTAATCTAGAGATGATTTCATCTATAGAGGAGGATGTGCATAGGTTATTTGCAAACTCTGTGCCATTTCATTTAAGAGGCTTGAGCATCTACAGATTTTGGTATCTGAGTGGAGATCTCGAAACCAATCACCCACGAATAGTGAAGGATGACCGTATATGACTTTTATTTCTCAAATTTAAATATAAATCATAAAAAATGTACAACTAGATAAAAACTAAGAAGTGTTTTTATAGTGTGAGTTAGATTTATTTTTTCCTAGGTGTAACCAATTGGTTTAATATTATTTATTGAGAAGACATTCTATGCCACCTTAAACCACACGGCAGCCTTTGTCAACTCTAAAGGGACTGTGTGTACATGGATGTACTTTAGACACTGTTTCTGCTAAGGGGCTCTCTGTGTCCACACTCTTGATGATGCTGCACTTTATGTAGCCTTATAGAACCCTTTAAATTTAGTAGCCAGAGCTCTCTAATTTGTTATTATAGGCTATTTGCTTTTTTTTCTTGAGGCGGAGTCTTGCTCTGTCGCCCAGGCTGGACTGCAGTGACACAATCTCAGCTCACTGCAACTTCTGCCTCCCAGGTTCAAGCGATTCTCGTGCCTCAGCCTCTTGAGTAGCTGGCGTTACAGGTGCCTGCCACCAGGCACGGCTAATTTTTGGATTTTTAGCAGAGACACGGTTTCACTATATTGGCCAGGCTGCTCTCAAACTCCTTATCTCAGTTGATCCGCCCACCTCGGCTTCCCAACGTGCTGGGGAAACTTGATTTTCTATAGCATTATGTTACTGGATATTTCTGTAAAATTTAAAATGAGGGAGGGAGAGAGACAGACGGAAAACAAACTCCAGAGTTGGGACTCTGGAATCTTGGGTCATGAGACAAATTTTAGATTAAACTACAAAACTCCAGAATTTACAGGTGGGGTTTTTACTGATAAAGTACAATTCTAAGATTGTAAATAATTGCATAATCCTTCCCTGGGAATTTAAATCATTTTAACTGGTTCTGCTGTAATACTAGAAATACAAGCATGAAAAATTCTAATGGTTTGTTAGTCACAATGACTCTGAAAACATTAATAATACCTATTAGATATTTTGCATATTACACAGGAAGAAGAGTTTGAATCTCAGATAAAAACAATAGAAATACATGAAAAGTCTTTCATGTTAGCACAGATTTTAGGCATCTCGTGTTCGGGAGGTTGGATCTCAGACGTGTTTTGAGTTGGTCATAGTGAAGGACACTAGGTGTCAAATTCTAGCGAGAACAATTTCCAGGAAGCCGTGTTCCGCTCTTGAGCGAGCACCCACTGGGCCTCATGCAAGGTAGAAAGAGCCTGCGTACGTCACCCTCCCATGATGTGGTCAACATGTAAACTGCATGGGCAGGGCGCCAAATAACATCCTGTGCGCTGCTGAGCTGAGCTCGGTCGCGGCTGCCTGTCTGCTCCGGCAGCACCATGTCGCTCTTGGTCGTCAGCATGGCGTGTGTTGGTGAGTCCTGGAAAGCAATAGAGGGAGGGAGCGCGGGGATGGAGATCTGGGCCCAGAGGTGGAGATATAGGCCTGGAGGTGGAGTTATGGGCCTGGAGTGGAGATCTGGGCCTGGAGTGGATATATGGGCCTAGAGATGGAGTGATGGGCCTAGAAGTGGAGATCTGGGCCCAGAGGTCGAGATATAGGCCTGGAGGTGGAGTGATGGGACTGTAGTGGAGATCTGGGCCTGGAGTGGAGATAGGAACCTGGAGGGGAGATAGGAACCTGGAGGGGAGATATGGGCCTGGAGGTGGAGATATGGGCCTGGAGTGGAGTCATGGGCCTGGAGGTGGAGTTACGGGCCTGCAGTAGAGATATGGGCCTGAAGTGGAGACATGGGCCTGGAGTGGAGATATGGGCCAGGAGTGGAGATATGGGCCTAGAGGTCGATATCTGGGCCTGGAGTGGAGATATGGGCCAGGAGTGGAGATATGGGCCTAGAGGTCGATATCTGGGCCTGGAGAGGAGATATGTGCCTAGGATGGAGATACGGGCCTGGGTGTGGAGATATGGGACTGGAGAGGATATATGGGCCTGGAGTGGAGATATGGGACTGGAGAGGAGATATGGACCTGGAGTGGAGATAAGGGCCTGGATTGGAGATATGGGCCCAGGGTGGAGATCTGAGCCTGGATTGGAGATATGGGCCTGGATTGGCGATATGGGCTTAGGGTGGAAATATCGGCCTGGAGTGGAGATATGGGCCTGGAGTGGAGATATGGGCTTGAGGTGGGGATATGGACCTGGAGGCTGGGTCTCTGCACAGCCGACAGCCCTGTTCTTGGGTGCAGGTAGGCACTGAGGGTGAGTTTACCTTCAGCCCAGGAAGGGCCTGGCTACCAAGACTCACAGCCCAGTGGGGGCAGCAAGGGTGCCCTGGTTTGCCTGCAGATGGGTCATCCATCATGATCTTTCTTTCCAGGGTTCTTCTTGCTGCAGGGGGCCTGGCCACATGAGGGTGAGTCCTTCTCCAAACCTTCGGGTGTCATCTCCCCACATAAGAGGATTTTCCTGAAATGGGAGGGAAGTCCTGTCAGGGAGTCTCTCATAAACTAGGAAGAAGGGACCCTGGGGTGCTGGGCCCACATTTCTGACCTTGCCTCCCTGGCCTTTCATTCCCTTGGCAGAGTCAAGTTCTGTGGGGACCAGGGTTAGACTACGGTGCTCAAAGCTGGGGTGTGTGGTGGGGAAGTGGTAGGAACAGCAGATCCTCTGAGGACAAAGGTGTTACTCACACACTTCAGCGTTTCCATGACGGTAGGGGCTGCAGTGTGGCTGCTGTCATTCTACCAGAAGAGGTGGGAAAACCACAGCCATGGCCCTGACATTCCAATCCTCTGATGGGGACTCAGTTGTTTATTTTCGTTCAGGCATCAGCTGATATTCCATTCTCAAAGGACATGCCCTCCACCCCATGTCTACCCTGTGTTGTTTTATGTGAGTAATCTTACAGTATTAAAATCTAGTAGGAGTCTCTTACTCAGCACTTGCTCAAAGTTCTCAGCTGACACTTTTGTTGTAGGGAGACACCTTGTGTTTGCGGGATGGGTCCTTCCTTTAGCCCTGGGCACCAAGGTGTGATAGCAGCCATAGAAACTTGGAAAGCGAGGAGAATCTTCAGAGCACAGGGAGGGAGGGGTGGCTCCACATCCTCCTCTCTAAGGCGGTGCCTCCTTCTCCCCAAGGTGGTCAGGACAAGCCCTTGCTGTCTGCCTGGCCAAGCCCTGTGGTGCCTCCAGGACATGTGATTCTTCAGTGTCATTCTTATCTTGGGTTTAACAACTTCAGTCTGTAAAAGGAAGATGGGGTGCCTGTCCCTGAGCTCTACAACATAATATTCTGGAACAGCCTTTTCATGGGCCCTGTGACCCCAGCACACGCAGGGACCTATACATGTCGGGGTTCACAACCACACTACCCCAGTGGGTGGTCGGCACCCAGCAACCCCCTGGAGATCACGGTCACAGGTCAGAGGGCTCCTGTCTGGGATTCTCCTTGTCCCACCTCCTGAATCCCAGAGCTCCTGGTGGGCGTGTCCTTGCGGGTCCCATCATGCAAGTCCTGACTGTATTTGGGGTAAAGGGGGATTGAATACAGGGAAATGGGTGCTGTGGTGGGAAGCACTGTGTTGTCCCCAGTGATGACTACATTCTAATCCCTGGAGTCTGTGACTATTTATGATATAGGGGAAGGGACTGAAGGAGAAGATGGAGCTCAGGTTGTTGATGAGTTGACCTTGAGATGGGGAGAAGGCCTGGACTGTCCTGATGGGCTCAGTGTAGTCACAGGGGTCCACATGAAAGGAGGAGGAAGAGGGGAGTGGGGATTACAGCAGCATAATGGGAGTCTCCATCAGCTTTGAAGGTGGAGGAAGTCCAGGAGCCATGAATGCAGGTGGCCTATAGAGGCTGGAAAAGTCAAGGAACTGATTCTCCTGAGTCTCCAGAGGGAACGAAGCCCTGCAGGTACCTTGATTTTACCCACGACAAACAGGGTCCGATTTCTGTCTCCAGAATTGGAAGGGGTTAGTGTGCTCTCTCCTGCTGCCATGCTTCTGATAATTTTCTACAGCAGCAACAGGAAACCAACACTGGAACCCAGGTCAAGGACAGGTTAAGAAACAACACAAGGATAGCCAGGCATGGTGGCAGGTGCATGTAATCCTAGCGACTTGGGAGGCTGAGGGCAGGAGAATCACTTGAACCCAGGAGACAGAGGTTGCAGTAAGCCTAGACCACACCACTTCACTCCAGCCTGGGCAAAGGAGTGAGACTCTGTCGCCAAAATTAATTAATTAATTAAAGAAACCAAACAAGGAGAAGGTTGGCTACACTGAGATCAGCAAGGCTCGGATGATGATGCCACCACCAGGCTCCATCCACATAGGGAGCGGTTGATACTCCTCCAACCAGCACCAGGAGCCAGGCTATGGAAGCTGGCACTGGCATGGCAAGAGTGTCTCCCAGTCCCTACCAGGAACAGGGTGTGTGGCCACTGGTGCCTGCCTTACTGATCAGTTCATACCTCCTGCCAAGGATTCCAATTCGTCCAAAAGAGATTGAACCAGGCTGCTAAGAGCCTGGATGTGCAGCCTATCCTGGTTCCTCTTCCACCCCCACACAGACAGCAGGAAAGACATTAGTTCGAAATAGATACAACAGCCCAAGAGATGAGGCTGAGCCCAGCGGCAAGGGAATCAGAGGCTACTAGAGACAGAGGGACAGAGAAGAGTGAGGGAGACAGATGGAAGGACCTGCACCAGGAGTTATGGGCACAGAAAAGAACATGAAGACACAGAGAGGAAGGAGAGAGATAAGACACCAGGAAGGGGAAGCCTCACTCAATCCAGGTGCCATGGATGGGATGATAAAGAGAGACACCTTCTAAACTCACAACCTCTCTTCCTAGGAGTCCACAGAAAACCTTCCCTCCTGGCCCACCCAGGTCGCCTGGTGAAATCAGAAGAGACAGTCATCCTGCAATGTTGGTCAGATGTCATGTTTGAACACTTCCTTCTGCACAGAGAGGGGATGTTTAACGACACTTTGCGCCTCATTGGAGAACACCATGATGGGGTCTCCAAGGCCAACTTCTCCATCAGTCGCATGACGCAAGACCTGGCAGGGACCTACAGATGCTACGGTTCTGTTACTCACTCCCCCTATCAGGTGTCAGCTCCCAGTGACCCTCTGGACATCGTGATCATAGGTGAGAGTGTCCAGACTTTCTTCTCATTGTCATTGGGATGCAGAGTGAATGATCCAGGACTTGGAGGCCCAGGTGGCTGTAAGGAAGATGAGCTTGGTATTCTTATGGAGAGAGACTGACTTGGTGAGGTCTGTGCCAACAGAGACAGAGAAACAGGAGACACAAGTAGAGACCAGGTGTCATAACAGAGAACAGACACAGGGGCCATACCGGGAGTTTGAAAAGACAGAAAGAGTTAAAGGAGACACACAGACAGACATGTCCCAGAGAGAGGTGTCCCTCCATGCTGACTTTGCTCAGAGACCTGGCACAGGTTAGAAGTTTCATTTCTGTTTTACCTCCACAAAGTGTTCTCTACCAGGAGAACCCAAGGACACCCATATTTCTGACCTGAGTTGGGCCCTGTGGCCTCAGGCCTTGTGGCACCTACAGATGCCATGTTTATTCTGACACCTCTGCCTTCCATGTAATGGAGAGTAATCGTCCCAGGATATCATGGCCCCACAACACCAACCCCTGTATGCTGTGTGAACTTGTAGTCTCCAGACTGGATTCTGAGGCTCATATTCCAAATAAGCCCACTTATGAGAGGATCAGTGAGAGGCACAGAGAGAAATCAGGGACACCAAAAAGCAAAGACATAAACACACAGAGAATGAGCCAGAGGAAGGAGATTGAGCGACTCACAGACACATAAAGAGAGAGAAAAGAGGGCAGAGAAGTGAGAATGATGGAAGGGAGCAGAGAAAATCACTAAAGTTAGACTCCTGAGGGAGAGGCACAAGGACATTGAAAGATGGAGATGTGGGGATGAATTGCAGAGATTCCAAAGAGAACTAGAGAGACCGAGAGGCAGAGCAAGACAGATGATAGATGGATAGATATAGATAGATGATAAATAGGTAGATGATAGATAATAGGTTATAGATACATAGATGATGATTGATTGATTCATTAATAGATGAGACATAGAGATGATGATGATGAAGACACATAGATAGATAATACATAGAGATACAGAGGCAGACATAGAGAAATCATAGAGAGAGAGAGATGATACATAGATATAGATAATAGATGATTGATGGATAGATAGACAATTGATGGATAAATAGATGATATATAGATATAGATGACAGGTAGAGAATTTGTAGATAGGCACCGAATAGATAAATAGATAGATCGATAGATAATAGATAGAAATATGCAGAAAGTTATGAACAGGACACAAAGTGAGAAACTCAGAATTAAAAAAAGTAACATCAAGTCAACCAATCCAAGGAGAGTCAGAGAGAATAAAACAATCCAAAAAGAGAAAACATATCTAGAGGTGGGGAAGTGAGGTCAGAGACCTAGAGAGACAGAGAAGGTGGAAGGAGGAAATAGACATGAAGAGCGATGGGGTAGAGGGTGAGAGAGAGAGAGAGAGAGCATTAGGTCATAGAACAGGGGAGTGAGTTCTCAGCTCAGGTGAAGGGAGCTGTGACAAGGAAGATCCTCCCTGAGGAAACTGCCTCTTCTCCTTCCAGGTCTATATGAGAAACCTTCTCTCTCAGCCCAGCCGGGCCCCACGGTTCTGGCAGGAGAGAATGTGACCTTGTCCTGCAGCTCCCGGAGCTCCTATGACATGTACCATCTATCCAGGGAAGGGGAGGCCCATGAACGTAGGCTCCCTGCAGGGACCAAGGTCAACGGAACATTCCAGGCCAACTTTCCTCTGGGCCCTGCCACCCATGGAGGGACCTACAGATGCTTCGGCTCTTTCCGTGACTCTCCATACGAGTGGTCAAAGTCAAGTGACCCACTGCTTGTTTCTGTCACAGGTGAGGAAAGCCCATGGCTGTCCCATGTCCTATGATCCTAGAGCCTTAGCTGAGGAGCTTCCTGCTGATGATGGAGAGAAGCATGGACAGATGCAGAGAGAAGACGCAGCCTCGGTGTGAGGGAGGGATCAGGGCACAGGATGGCCGACAGGGCACCTCCAAACCCTCCTACATGGCCTGCATGGAGGCCCACGGCCAGGGCTCCAGGCACCCAGGCAGATGGAGAAAGCGGTCAGGAGAGACCCAGAGGAGGGAGACTGGGCTCAGTTTGGGGAGATCAGAGGTTCCCTCAGCCCCTCAACCTTACCCATTTCCCAGAAGCCCATCCTGGCCTCTCACCCACACAGAGATGTCATCACCAGCAACCCCTACACCCTTTACTTTTCTTTGAAGAAATATTTATTGAGGATAAATATACCTATATAGCTTACCACTTTTAACATTTTTTTTTGAGGTGGAGTCTAGCTGTGTCCCCTATGCTGGAGTGCAGTGGCACAATCTCAGCTCACTGCAACCTCCACCTCCTGGGTTCAAGCGATTCTCCTGCCTCAGCCACCTGAGTAGCTGGTGCTACAGGCACGCACCACCACGCCAGGCTACTTTTTGTATTTTTAGTAGGGAGGTGGTTTCACCATGTTGGTCGAGCTGGTCTCGAACTCCTGACCAAGTGATCCACCCGCATCTGCCTCCCAAAGTGCTGGGATTACAGGCATGGGCCACCGCGCCCAGCCACATTTACCATTTTTAAGTGTAAAGTCTAGTGGTCATAAATACATTTATATACATATATATATATACATTTTTTTTACCCTCCACCCTTTTCTTCCTGTCCTCCAGTAGCCACCATTCTACTCTCTACCTTCATGAGATCCACCTTTTAGCTCCTGTATATGGGTGAGAAATGGGAATCTTTGTAATGACCTCCAGTTCCATCCATGTGGCTGCAAATGACAGGATGTTATTCTTTCTATGGATGAGTAGTCTCCACTATGCGTATGTACTACATTCTCTCTATCCATTTACCCACTGATGGGCAGGTAGGTTGACTCCTCATCTTGGCTACTGTGAACAGTGCTGCACCAATCATACGAGTGCAGATATCACTTCGATATATTGATTTACTTTCCTTTGGATATAAACCCAGTAGTGAAATTGCTGGATACTATGAAAGTTCTCTTTTTTTCTTTTTTTCTTTTTTGAGAAAGAGTTTCCCTCCTTAGCCCAAGCTGGAGTCAAAGTGGTGCGACCTTGGCTCATTGCAACCTACGCCTCCTGGGTTCAAATGATTTTCCTGCCTCAGCCTCCCTAGTAGCTGGGATTACAGGTGCACACCACCATCCCTGGCTACTTTTTGGTTTTTTTAGTATAGATGGGGTTTCCCCATGTTGGCTGGGCTGCTCTCAAACTCATGACCTCAACTGAGGTGCCCGCCTCAGTCTCCCAAAGTGCCGGGATTACAGGCATGATCCACCGCACCCAACCTCTTTTTAGTTCTTTAAAGGACTTCCATACTTTTCTCCGTAATGGCTGTACTAATTTACACTCCTCCCAACAGGGTACCAGGGTTCTCCTTTCTCTACCACCTTGCCAGCATTTCTTTTGCCTGTCTTGCAGCTAAAAGCCATTTTATTTTATTTCATTTTATTTTGAGATGGAGTTTTGCTCTTCTCACCCAGGCTGGAGTGCAGTGGCGCGATCTCGGCTCACCACAACCTCCACCTCCCAGGTTCAAGCGATTCTCCTGCCTCAGCCTCCCGAGTAGCTGGAATTACAGGCACACGCCACCACGCCCGACTAATTTTTGTATTTTTAGTAGAGACAGCGTTTCTCTATGTGGGTCATACTGGTCTCAAACTCCCGACCTTATGAGATTCACCCACCTCAGGCTCTCAAAGTTCTAGGATGACAAACGTGAGCCACCTCACCCGGCCTAAAAGCCATTTTAATGGGGTGAGATGAAAACTCACTTTGAATTTAATTTGCGTTTCTCTGATGATGAGTGATACTGAGCAGTTTTTCGTATGTGGGGAAATTTCATGTCTTTTGCTCCTTTTTCAATTAAATCATTTGTTTTATTGAGTTGTTTGAGCTTCTTATATTTCTAGTTATTAATCCCATCTCAGATGCATAGTTTGCACATATTTGCTCCCAATCTGTGGGTTGTCTCTTCACTTTGTTGGTTTATTTTTAGCGGTGCAGAAGTTGCTTAGTATGAGGTAATCCCAATGGTCTATTTTTGCTTCGATTACTTGTGTTTTCAAGGTTTAAAACAAAATGTCTTTCTTCAGACAAGTGTCCTGGAGCATTTCCCCAATATTTTGTTCTACGTGTTTCATAGGTTCAGGCCTTAGACTCACATCTTTAATCCATTTTCATTTGATTTTTGTGTATGGTGACAGGTAGAGGTGCAGTTTCATTCCTCTGCATGTAGATGTCCAGGTTTCCCTGCACTGTTTATTGAAAAGACTGTCCTTTCCTGATTGTGAGTTCTTGGCATCTTTGTCAAAGTCCATTGGATGGGCTGGGCTTGGTGGCTAACACCTGCAATTTCAGCACTTTGGGAGCCCAAGGTGGGTGGATCACCTGAGGCCAGGAGTTCAAGATTAGTCTGGCCGACGTGATGAAACATCATCTCCACTAAAAATATAAAAATTAGCTGAGCATGGTGGTCAGCACCTGTAATACCACTACTCAGGAGTTTGAGGCAAGAGAATGATTGAACCCAGGAGGCTGAGGTTGCAGTGAACCGAGATTGCACCTTTGCACTCCAGCCTGAGTGACAGAGCAAGACTCCATCTCAAAAGAAAAAATAAAAAACCATTGGATGTAAATGCATGGAATATATCTGTGTTATTCATTCTGCTCCGTTGTTCTATGTGCCTTTCTTTATGCCAATGTCATGCTATTTTGCTTACTACAGCTCTGTAACATATTTTGAGATCAGGTAGTGTGATGCTCCTGTTTTCTCTTTATACCTTGAAGTCTCAAGACAGTGGGTGTCACATAAAAAAATTATGGAAAAAAGGATCCCAGGACTCCCAGGGCCCAATATTAGATAACAGAGTGTTGGCCATGAACCATCCTCAAAGATTTCCACTGAGTGGAGGACAGAAACCCTCATTTCCTCACCTCTCTCCTGTCTCATGTTCTAGGAAACCCTTCAAATAGTTGGCCTTCACCCACTGAACCAAGCTCCGAAACCGGTGAGTACAGAACCCTCTTATATCCGCTTTTGGAAACCTGGGGAGGTGGAAACCTTGGATTCAGGCGTTGACTCAGCATCTCACAGCTCTGACATTGTACACCTGTCTTCCACCATCTCCGAACTCCAGATACTCCTACAGCGAAAGGGATCTGGGCCCAACACAGGGCTCAGTGAAATCTCTTCATCTCTCATTTTATGGAGCTGAGACCTCCTACAAGCTAGAAGAATGATTGCCAATCTGACATCCTTCTCAGGAAAAATGCAATGTTTGTTCTGCCTGCATTCCTAACTGGAGGATAAATTCCTGGAGACTTGAGAGAGGGAAGGGAAGGGAACATCTGATGAGGGCGAGGTGTTTTAGAGAAGTTCCACTTGCCAAGGAATGAGCTCCTGTAGGTCATGAAGCAACCCTGGCTGACTCAGCAGAGCAAGAGCCTTGCCGTAACAGAGAACAGAGCTCATGCACGCACACTTCGACTCACTGACTCATTCAGCCACGGCCCCATGCTCAGGCTGTGCAGTGCGGAACCTTTTCCTATTGTTGCCATAACAAATTTCCACAAGATTCGTGGGTGAAAACAAAACGGTTTTTTAATTATCTTACAGTGCTGTAGCTCAAAGTAGGAAGTGCATCTTACTGGGCTAAAATCAAGGTGACAGCAAGGCTGCCTTCCCTCTGAGGATTCCAGGCACGAATCTGCTTCTCACTTGTCCCAGCTTCTAAAGGCTCCCAGTTCCTTGGCTCCTGGTCCCCTTCCTCCTTCCTCAAAGCCCACAAAGACTGGTCACATCTCACATGGCATCACTCAGTGCCTTCTTCCTTACCACACTTCTTTCTCTGAATGCTGCTCTCCCTTCTTCCTCATCTTTTGAAAACTTGGGGATTCTATTGGGTTCACCAAGATGAAAATCCCTCATAATCTCCTGGAAATCATCCAGGATACCCTTGTTTTAAGTTCAGCTGATTAGTAACCATAATTCCATCTGCAATCTTCATTCCTCCTTTCCATGTAAAATAACATATTCACAAGCTATGGAGGCTAGGACAGGGACATTTTGGGGTGGGACAGCATTCTCCTGCCTTCCACAAACAGTGAACAAGATGCATTTGGCCTCTGCCCTTGGGACACTGATATTGCAGATGGTTAAATGGGAGGGCAGAAAATGAATGCACAAGTGGATCTATAAATGAATGATCCATTGGGAAGCATCTGTGCGTGAAATCTATTTTTTGTTTGTTCTTTTGTTTATTGAGACAGAGTCGCCCTCTGTCTTCCAGGCTACAGTGCAGTGTCACGATCTTGGCTCACTGCAACCTGCGTCTCCTGGATTCAAGTGATTCTCCTGCCTCCGCCTCTCGAGTAGCTGGGATTACAGGCAACTGCCACCGTGCCCGGCTAATTCTTTTTGTATATTTTTTGTAGAGAGGATGTTTCACCACGTTGGCCAAGCTTGTCTGAAACTCCCAACCTCAAGTGATCCGACCGTCTCAGCATGCCAAAGTAATGGGACTACAGGCGTGAGCCACTGTGCCCAGCCAGAATTCAAAATCAATAATAGATAATGCTGAGTGTATGATTTCAGGTGACAAAGAAGGTCTCACTATTCAGATATTTGTGACATTAATGAAAAACACGGATTGAACCCCTGAAAGATTGGCGGAAGGATTTTGCACACACAGCTGTCAGCCGTGAAGGCACAAAGGTGAAAACAATCTGATATGGAAGGAAGAGGCTCTGCCTCAAATGCTGGGAATGATGTGGGGAGAATGACAAGATGACTGTAGAGAGACGGAGAGCACACTGGGTACACAGGAAACTAAGGAGCAACAAGGAGTGTGTGTTTGACACTCACAGCCATTGAATTCACCTCGGGGTAACTAGGAATCCCTACATGATTAATATGACTGACATGAAAATAAGGGAGGCTCAGTTGCATAACTGGAATCTAGGAGACCGTGGAAAAGGCAATTGCCGCCCCACTGGTGAAATGTGGTGCTGATTTAGACACTAAATGAATGAAGTAGATGGATATAAGATATGTTTGTGAGGTAGAATCATTGACTGGAAACGCTTACTGGGTTTGATTTTCCTACTTGTTTAATCCTCGCTTAATTAATTTCTTTCTGAGATTTATTCATCCTACACATAAATCAATACCTGGCAAAGGAGTGACAGATATATGAGGGGTGGTGGAAATGAAGGGACCTATTATAGCATAATATACAAGTCTGTGAACGGTGGCTCACGCCTGTAACCCAGCACTGCAGGAGGCCAAGGCGGGTGGATCACATGAAGTCAGCAGTTCGAGACCAGCCTGGCCAACATGGTGAAACCCTGTCTCTAGGAAAAACACAAAAATTAGCCGAGCATGGTGGTGCATCCCTGTAATCCCAGCTCCTACTCTGGAGGATGAAGCAGGAGAATGACTTCAACCCAGGAGGTGGAGGTTGCAGTGAGTGGAGGTTGCATCACTGCACTCCAGCCTGGGTGGCACAAGGAGACTCCGTCTCAAAAAATAAAAATAAGAAATGCATAAATATAAATATAATATAACACACGCAAATGACAAAGGGACCTGAATTCCAATCATGATTTTTCTATTTCTCTATAATTACTTCTTTGATCCTTTATCTTATCCATTAGGCAATGAGCCTAAAACCTCTTCCCTATTTGGCTTTCTGTGAGCATGAGATCACATAGAAAATGTGAAAGCCCGCTGAATCCTCCAGCACAGATCCTGGAATAGAGAAAGTGCTCTGGTCATCACAAAAAAAACTTGCCCACTCACCCAAATCCCCCACCTCACCCCTACTTCCAATCACCTGTGGAGATTCAGATAGACCATGGGGAGGTAAACATTAACACTCCTTGGAGTGAGTCCAGATCTTGGAATCAGAGATCAGCGACAGCACTAGCTCCTGCTCCCCTTTCCTACTAATTCACAGGAGGACAGGTGGTTTTGAAGCAATAGATGGCCGAGGGGGTGGTCCTTCCCCCAGCCTCTCGGGTAGAACAGCAGCCTAATATGTGTCTCCCGAGATCACAAAGAGCAGCAGGTTTCACACGGGCTTCAACACTATTTCCTGGCCGTTTGACATAAGAGAATTCTATTTCGCTTTTTTTATCTTGATTTCACTTTTGTTTTCTTTCCTTGGAGAATGCAAGTTGTTTGATTCAAGAATGCTGTGGATGTAGAAACCCTAAAGCACATTCGCTGTGAATCAATCCCAGTCCAGTCTTCCCAGAGAAGACTCTAAACACCTCCTGGACTGCACCTGGGCCTATGCCAATTCCTATCACTCACCGTCACTCCAGGGAGACAGAACACACAGAGAATACGTTACATAGGCAGGTTCATTACTAACAGATAAGCAGCGAGTGACAACAGAAACCTATATTTCAATGTGACCCAGTCCCTCAAGGCTCAGAAAAGCTCCTCGGGACATATGGAGTCACCCCATTTGCAGTGTAGCTGCGGGAAGCCAGAAAGCAGCCCAGCCTGGGTTTTGTACCCTGGAGCCACAGGAAGCACTCAGCTAAAGCACTGCATGACGTCCTCCTCCAGGAAGAACAGGAAGACAGCCCAGGCTGTTCTGAGACGTTCCTCCTGATCTCAGGAAGTTGCTGTCTTAGGCCATTTTTGTTGCTCTAAAGGAACACTTGAGCCTCGGTAACTTCTAAAGAAAAGAGATTGGTTTGTCTCACCGTTCTGCAGGCTGTACTGGAAGCATGGCACCAGCATCTATTTCTCGTGACGGCCTCAGGCTGCTCCCACTCTGGCAGAAGGGAAGGAGGGTCTGTCTGTGCAGAGACCACAGAGATCACACAGCAAGAGAGGGAGCAAGGGGGAGGGGGAGTGATGGAGCTTCCAAGCTCTTTTTAACAACCAGCTCTCCGGGAACTAATAGAGGGGGAACTTGCTAACCCCGTCTCCTTGGGACAGCATTGATGTGTTCATGATGGATCCACCTCCATGACCCAAACACCTCTCAAGAGGCCCAACCTCCCACAGTGGGGGTGAAATTTCAATGTGAGGTTTGAAGGGGTCAAACATCTCAACTAAAGTAGTCGTATCCTCAGCACGTTCTATGGTTACTATGAGAGCTATAACTGAAAAAGCAGGAGAAAGCTGGGTCTCCTGCTATCTGGGTGCTTGTCCTAAAGAGGTGTTTTATGTGGTTACCTGTCAATCAAGAAATGCGAGACAATTCATAAAGAGGAACTGCTAAGATTAGCTTCTTATTGGTGTCTCATCTTCTTCCAGGTAACCCCCGACACCTGCACATTCTGATTGGGACCTCAGTGGTCATCATCCTCTTCATCCTCCTCTTCTTTCTCCTTCATTGCTGGTGCTCCAACAAAAAAAGTAAGTCTCACGAAGCAGAGGCCAGAGAGCTCAGGGCCATGTGGGGAAGCAGGATGGGAGCACTCAGGTGTGTGTTCCTCACAAACAGGATGGTCCCTGGCCCAAGGCAGCAGCCACAGAGGCAGGACTTTCTAGAGAGGGCACCAGACTCCCTGTCCCTGCCTTCAACTCACAGACCGTTGCCTGATTCTGAACTGTATCCTCATGTCCACTGCAGCCACTCACATCCAGGAGAAGGTTCCATGACAGGCAGAAAGTGGGAGACAGAATCAATGGGATGGGAACTCAGAGCTATTCATGGGATGGGTCCTTGAGCTCAGAGAGATAGAATGTCTGAGTCTGCTGTTGGCAACTGAGGGACCTCAGCCACCTATGGTCTCCCCCTGTATGTTGGTATCTGCTTATGAAATGAGGACCCAGAAGTGCCCTCCGAGCTGTTTTGTTGACTTCCGTCTTCTACAGATGCTGCGGTAATGGACCAAGAGTCTGCAGGAAACAGAACAGCGAATAGCGAGGTAGGTACTCCTCGGCCCGGGCTCGTGGCTACTGTTATTCCCAAAGAGTCCTGGAAAATGTGAGCACCCTCCCTCACTCAGCATTTCCCTCTCTCCAGGACTCTGATGAACAAGACCCTCAGGAGGTGACATACACACAGTTGAATCACTGCGTTTTCACACAGAGAAAAATCACTCGCCCTTCTCAGAGGCCCAAGACACCCCCAACAGATATCATCGTGTACACGGAACTTCCAAATGCTGAGTCCAGATCCAAAGTTGTCTCCTGCCCATGAGCACCACAGTCAGGCCTTGAGGGCGTCTTCTAGGGAGACAACAGCCCTGTCTCAAAACCGGGTTGCCAGCTCCCATGTACCAGCAGCTGGAATCTGAAGGCATGAGTCTGCATCTTAGGGCATCGCTCTTCCTCACACCACAAATCTGAATGTGCCTCTCACTTGCTTACAAATGTCTAAGGTCCCCACTGCCTGCTGGAGAAAAAACACACTCCTTTGCTTAGCCCACAGTTCTCCATTTCACTTGACCCCTGCCCACCTCTCCAACCTAACTGGCTTACTTCCTAGTCTACTTGAGGCTGCAATCACACTGAGGAACTCACAATTCCAAACATACAAGAGGCTCCCTCTTAACGCAGCACTTAGACACGTGTTGTTCCACCTTCCCTCATGCTGTTCCACCTCCCCTCAGACTAGCTTTCAGTCTTCTGTCAGCAGTAAAACTTATATATTTTTTAAAATAACTTCAATGTAGTTTTCCATCCTTCAAATAAACATGTCTGCCCCCATGGTTTCGGTAATGGGACTCTTTTCTTGCCTAAGGCTTCCGGTGTTATCAGTACCATGTCCATATAATCCCATCTGTTCCCCACTGAGTTCTCATCCCCGGACTCTGAGTTTCTGGAAGCAGGGTGGAGCCTCATTTGTCTCTGGGACTCCAATTTCCATCCAAAGATGTAGCACATAGGAGGTTCCAAGGATCACGAATCATATGAACAAGTGATACTCTTACTCTCTGCAGACCTGGAAAGCTGGCAGAGTCATTCCACAATGAAACATTTGTAGAATCATAGGCCTTGTTAGTCTCATCTCCATGGGGACACATATCAACACATCATCTTTCATAATATAAATATACGGTCACTCCTCCATATCTGCGGGGTTTACAGGTGTTTATTGAACCAAGTATAAATCAAAAATATTGAGAGAAAGTATCCACAGAGTTTCAAAAAGCATAACTATGTTGAATGGACACAAATGAAGCTGTGTGTAGGCTGTATCAGGAATTATAAGTAATCTAGAGATGATTTCATGTATACAGGAGGATGTGCATAGGTTATTTGCAAACGCTGTGCCATTTCATATAAGAGGCTTGAGCATCTACAGATTTTGGTATCTGAGTGGAGATCTCAAAACCAATCACCCACGAATAGTGAAGGATGACCGTATATGACTTTTATTTCTCAAATTTAAATATAAATCATAAAAAATGTACAACTAGATAAAAACTAAGAAGTGTTTTTATAGTGTGAGTTAGATTTATTTTTTCCTAGGTGTAACCAATTGGTTTAATATTATTTATTGAGAAGACATTCTATGCCACCTTAAACCACACGGCAGCCTTTGTCAACTCTAAAGGGACTGTGTGTACATGGATGTATTTTAGACACTGTTTCTGCTAAGGGGCTCTCTGTGTCCACACTCTTGATGATGCTGCACTTTATGTAGCCTTATAGAACCCTTTAAATTTAGTAGCCAGAGCCCTCTAATTTGTTATTATAGGCTGTTTGCTTTTTTTTTCTTGAGGCGGAGTCTTGCTCTGTCGCCCAGGCTGGACTGCAGTGACACAATCTCAGCTCACTGCAACCTCCGCCTCCCAGGTTCAAGCGATTCTCGTGCCTCAGCCTCTTGAGTAGCTGGCGTTACAGGTGCCTGCCACCAGGCACGGCTAATTTTTGGATTTTTAACAGAGACACGGTTTCACTATATTGGCCAGGCTGCTCTCAAACTCCTTATCTCAGTTGATCTGCCCACCTCGGCTTCCCAACGTGCTGGGGAAAACTTGATTTTCTATAGCATTATGTTACTGGATATTTCTGTAAAATTTAAAACGAGGGAGGGAGAGAGACAGACAGAGAGCAAACTCCAGAGTTGGGACTCTGGAATCTTGGGTCATGAGACAAATTTTAGATTAAACTACAAAACTCCAGAATTTACAGGTGTGGTTTTTGCTGATAAAGTACAATTCGAAGATTGTAAATAATTGCATAATCCTTCCCTGGGAATTTAAATCATTTTAGCTGGTTCTGCTGTAATACTAGAAATACAAGCATGAAAAATTCTAATGGTTTATTAGTCACAATGACTCCGAAAACATTAATAATACCTATTAGATACTTTGCATATTACACAGGAAGAAGAGTTTGAATCTCAGATAAAAACAAAAAAAATACATGAAAAGTCTTTCATGTTAGCACAGATTTTAGGCATCTCGTGTTCGGATAAAAATACATGAAAAGTCTTTCACGTTAGCACAGATTTTAGGCATCTTGTGTTCGGGAGGTTGGATCTGAGACGTGTTGTGAGTTGGTCATAGTGAAGGACGTGAGGTGCCAATTCTAGTGAGAACAATTTCCAGGAAGCCGTGTTCCGCTCTTGAGCAAGCATCCACTGGGCCTCATGCAAGGTAGAAAGAGCCTGCGTACGTCACCCTCCCATGATGTAGTCAACATGTAAGCTGCATGGGCAGGGCGCCAAATAACATCCTGTGCGCTGCTGAGCTGAGCTGGGGCGCGGCCGCCTGTCTGCACCGGCAGCACCATGTCGCTCATGGTCGTCAGCATGGCGTGTGTTGGTGAGTCCTGGAAAGGAATAGAGGGAGGGAGTGCCACATCCTCCTCTCTAAGGTGGCGCCTCCTTCTCCCCCAGGTGGTCAGGACAAGCCCTTCCTCTCTGCCTGGCCCAGCCCCGTGGTGTCTGAAGGAGAACATGTGGCTCTTCAGTGTCGCTCTCGTCTTGGGTTTAACGAATTCAGTCTGTCCAAAGAAGACGGGATGCCTGTCCCTGAGCTCTACAACAGAGTATTCCGAAACACCGTTTTCATAGGCCCTGTGACCCCAGCACATGCAGGGACCTACAGATGTCGGGGTTCACACCCACACTTCCTCACTGGGTGGTCAGCACCCAGCAACCCCCTGGTGATCATGGTCACAGGTCAGAGGGCTCCTGTCTGGGATTCTCCTTGTCCCACCTCCTGAGTCCCAGAGCTTCTGGTGGGAGTGTCCACCAGCGTCCCATCATCCAGACCCTAACTGTATTTGGGATAAAAGGGGATTGAATACAGGGAAATGGGTGCTGTGGTGGAAAGAATAATTGTCCCCAATGATGACTGCATTCTAATCCCTGCAGTCTGTGACTATTTATGTTATAGGGGAAGGCACTGAAGGGGAAGATGGAGCTCAGGTTGTTGAGTTGACCTTGAGATGGGGAGACAGCCTGGACTGTCCTGCTGGGCTCAGTGTAATCACAAGGGTGCACATGAGAGGAGAAGGAAGAGGGGAGTGGCGATTAGAGCAGTGCAATGGAAGTCTCCATCAGCTTTGAAGGTGGAGGAAGGCCATGAGCCATGAATGCAGGTGGCCTATAGAGGCTGGAAAAGTCAAGGAACTGATTCTCCTGGGTCTCCAGAGGGAACGCAGCCCTGCAGATGCCTTGATTTTAGCCCTCAAAAAACAGGGTCCGATTTCTGTCTCCAGAAACGGAAGGGGTCAGTGTGCTCTCTCCTGCTGCCATGCTTCTGATAATTTTCTACAGCACCAACAGGAAACCAACACTGGAACCCAGGTCAAGGACAAGATAAGAAAGGACACAAGGATAGCCGGGCGTGGTGGCAGGTGCATGTAATCCTAGCAACTCAGGAGGTTGAGGGCAGGAGAATCACTTGAACCCAGGAGACAGAGGTTGCAGTGAGCCTAGACCACACCACTTCACTCCAGCCTGGGTGAAGGAGTGAGACTCTGACTCCAAAATTAATTAATTAATTAAAGAAACCAAACAAAGAGAAGGTTGGCTACACCGAGATCAGCAAGGGTGGGATGATGATGCCACCACCAGGCTCCATCCACATAGGGAGGGGTTGATACTCCTCAAACCAGCACCAGAAGCCAGCCTATGGAAGCTGGCACCATGGAGAAGGCACAGGCATGGCAAGAGTGGCTCCCAGTCCCCACCAGGAACAGGGTGTGTGGACACTGGTGCCTGCCTTACTGATCAGTTCATACCTTCTGCCAAGGATTCCAATTCGTCCAAAAGAGATTGAACCAGTCTGCTAAGAGCCTGGACGTGCAGCCTATCCTGGTTCCTCTTCCACCCCCACATAGAAGCAGGAAAGACATTAGTTCGAAATAGATACAACAGCCCAAGAGATGAGGCTGAGCCCAGCGTCAAGGGAATCAGGAGCTACTAGAGACAGAGGGACAGAGAAGAGGGAGGGAGACAGATGGAAGGACCTGTACCAGGAGTTATGGGCACAGAAAAGAACATGAAGACACAGAGAGGAAGGAGAGAGATAAGACACCAGCGAGGGGAAGCCTCACTCATTCTAGGTGCCATGGATGGGATGATAAAGAGAGATGCCTTCTAAAGTCACAACCTCTCTTCCTAGGAGTCCACAGAAAACCTTCCCTCCTGGCCCACCCAGGTCCCCTGGTGAAATCAGAAGAGACAGTCATCCTGCAATGTTGGTCAGATGTCATGTTTGAGCACTTCCTTCTGCACAGAGAGGGGAAGTTTAATGACACTTTGCGCCTCACTGGAGAGCTCCATGATGGGGTCTCCAAGGCCAACTTCTCCATCGGTCGCATGACGCAAGACCTTGCAGGGACCTACAGATGCTACGGTTCTGTTCCTCATTCCCCCTATCAGTTGTCAGCTCCCAGTGACCCTCTGGACATCGTGATTACAGGTGAGAGTGTCTGGACATTATTCTCATTGTCACTGGGACACAGAGTGAATGATCCACGACTTGGAGGCCCAGGTGGTTATAAGGAAGATGAGCTTGGTATTCTTATGGAGAGAGACTAACTTGGTGAGGTCTGTACCAACAGAGACAGAGAAACAGGAGACACAAGTACAGACCAGGTGTCATAACAGAGGACAGACACAGGGGCCATACAGGGAGTTAGAAAAGACAGAAAGAGTTAAAGGAGACACAGACAGACATGTGCCAGAGAGAGGTGTCCTTCCATGCTGACTTTGCTCAGAGACCTGGCACAGGTTAGAAGTTTCATTTCTGTTTTACTTCCACAAAGTGTTCTCTACCAGAAGAACCCAAGGACACCCATATTTCTGGCCTGAGTTGGGCCCTGTGGCCTCAGGCCTTCTGGCACCTACAGATGCCGTGTTTATTCTGACACCTCTGCCTTCCATGCAATGGAGAGTAATCGTCCCAGGATATCATGGCCCCAGAACATCAACCCCTGTATACTGTGTGAACTTGCGGTCCCCAGACTGGATTCTGAGGCTCACATTCCAAATAACCCCACATATGAGAGGATCACTGAGAGACACAGAGAGAAATCAGGGACACCAAAAAGCAAAGACATAAACACACAGAGAATGAGCCAGAGGAAGGAGATTGAGAGACTCACAGACACATAAAGAGGGAGAAAAGAGGGCAGAGAAGTGGAGAGAACAATGGAAGGGAACAGAGAAAAGCACTAAAATTAGAGTCCTGAGGGAGAGACACAAGGACATAGAAAGATGGAGATGTGGGGATGAATTGCAGAGATTCCAAAGAGAACTAGAGAGACCGAGAGGCAGAGCAAGACAGATGATAGATGGATAGATATAGATAGATGATAAATAGGTAGATGATAGATAATAGGTTATAGATACATAGATGATGATTGATTCATTCATTGATTAATCGATGATACATAGAGATGATGAAGATGAAGATAGATAGATAATACATAGAGATAGAGAGGCAGACAAAGAGAAATCATAGAGAGAGAGAGACGATACATAGATATAGATAATAGATGATTTTTGGATAGACAATTGATAGATAAATAGATTATATATAGATATAGATGACAGGTAGAGAATTTGTAGATAGGCACCAAATAGATAAATAGATATATCGATAGATAATAGATAGAAATATGCAGAAAGTTATGAACAGGACACAAAGTGAGAAACTCAGAATTTAAAAAAAGTAACATCAAGTCAACTAGTCCAAGGAGAGTCAGAGAGAATAAAACAATCCAAAAAGGGAAAACATATCTAGAGGTGAGAAAGTGAGGTCAGAGACCTAGAGAGACAGAGAAGGTGGAAAGAGGAAATAGACATAAAGAGAGATGGTGTGGAGGGTGAGACAGAGAGAGAGAGCATTAGGCCATAGAGCAGGGGAGTGAGTTCTCAGCTCAGGTGGGAGGGGAGTTGTGACAAGGAAGAACCTCCCTGAGGAAACTGCCTCTTCTCCTTCCAGGTCTATGTGGGAAACCTTCTCTCTCAGCCCAGCCGCGCCCCATGGTTAAGGCAGGAGAGAGCGTGACCTTGTCCTGCAGCTCCCGGAGCTCCTATGACATCTACCATCTATCAAGGGAGGGGGAGGCTCATGAACTTAGGTTCCCTGCAGTGCCCAAGGTCAATGGAACCTTCCAGGCCAACTTTCCTCTGGGCCCTGCCACCCACGGAGGGACCTACAGATGCTTCGGCTCTTTCCGTGACTCTCCCTACGAGTGGTCAGACCTTAGTGACCCACTGCTTGTTTCTGTCACAGGTGAGGAAACCAGTCTGTTCCCCAAATAGTGGGACTCAGATGGACTACAATGGCCACATTCAGGGGAGCCTCAGATGGAGGGGGTGGCCATGGGGGTGTCAGCCAGAGATGCTGGACAGAAGAGACACAAAGCAAACATACAGAAAGAGGCATAGACAGACAGACAGAGCGAGGCAGACAGATCACATTAGGGTTTGGGGTGGTAACTGCAACCCTACCTGAAGCTTGCAGATAGAGCACAGGCCACATAAACCACTTCCCAGTCTTTGTACAGAAGCCCACCTGGGACACATGTAAACAGCATCAATGCTGACTCAGGAGCATGAAAGGCCGGGCTCAGATTGGAAAGACTAGAGGTAGCATTGGCCGCCCGCCATTGCCCATTTCCAGAAGCCCCCACCTCTCACCAAAGAGTGA
This sequence comes from Homo sapiens, assembly GCF_000001405.40. Classification (NCBI taxonomy): domain Eukaryota; kingdom Metazoa; phylum Chordata; class Mammalia; order Primates; family Hominidae; genus Homo; species Homo sapiens. The sequence goes on from NW_016107303.1 coordinate 198,657, forward strand.
TTTCCACATGGGGGGCACAGATGCAACCATCGTTGGGGGAGCCCCAATGTCTCTTGATGGGAGGCATTTTCCACCCTAGATGTTTTTTGCTCTCTCCACACCTTGGAGACTCAGTGGGGGAGTCTTCTCTGGGGACTCGGGGAGGGCCTCCCTGGGACTCGCAGGATTTCCAAGCTAGATGACAACATGACAGGTGGAAACAGGCCCATTCCTTCGCCAGGGGCCCCAAGCTCCATCCCAGGAGATGAGAAGAGGCTCTTCTCATTGGTCAGTGGATCCCTGAGGGGACAGAGGCTCAGCACTGAAGGCTGAGAAGGATCTGCCACTTCGCTCAGTGGCCTCAAGCCAGACATCTTCCCTACAGACTTGCAGTGATTCTCCATCAGCATTTAGGGCTGTGGCCACCAACCTGGGTGTTGGTCTGTAGGAACTTTTCATTTCTGACCTTCCATAACTGAGTTCTCTTCCTAAATGTGGAATGCCTTGTACTCCATGTTACTCTCTCCCCAGAAAGAATGTGTGGCTTGTCTGCTCTCCAGCCCTGTCATGGAGATTGATAATCCTTAGGGAGCAAGAGGAGAGGGAAAGAACAAAGTATGAGACCACCTAGGTGCTACTGGTTGAGGTTCCATTTGCCAGTGAAGGGACTTCACTCAGCCGAGGGGGCAACTCAGGGAAGTCAGCCGAGGGAGGGCATTAGAGTAGAGAGAACTGAGCTCACCCAGTAAATGACCCCTTCACTAACTCATTCATCTAATATTTATTTCACACCTACCATCAGTTCTCTCTGTTTCATGGCCAGGAGTAGACAGCACGGCCAAGCTCCTGGGTTCATGATGCTCACATTGCTGTGGGGTGGGAGAGAGAGGCAGAACATGAATGAATGAATGAGAGAATGAATGAATGAGTGAATGATGGAATGAGTGAATGAATGAATGAATGAATGTATGAATTAGTGAGTGAATCCTTAGCACTTGGTGAAAGTGCCATGCACAGAATGAAATGAATGAACGTGGAACGTTGTCATTTGGAGTGTACAGGAGGGAACGTCTCACTGAGACCTCATCAGAGAGATCACATTTAAACTCCGATCTTAGAGACAAGAGGGAGTGAGCCCTGGGGAGTGTGTTGAAAGGAACTTTCATGGACTTAGGACATTGGGGATGACCCTAATGTGAGAATGAGCTTGGTGTGTTCCAAGAAGTCCATGGACCTGCCATATGGTGAGGGCTGGTCAGAATCCAGAGAGATTTCTAAATGCCCTTGTGCTTGTAAGGAAAGTGAGTCCTGTGGTTGGGAGTGGACTTATACCTTGGGTCAGGTCCAGCAATTATCTTTCTAAATCCTCTCTAATTGCCTGAACCACTTCTATCAACAACTGAGAAAAGAGGAGTGTTAAACACCCCACTGTGGCCGTGGATTTGCCTACCTGTCCATTTATTTCCGCGACTCTTCCTCCATGTATATTTGCAGGAATATTACTGGGAGTGGTTAAGTGTAAACTGATTATATATTCCTGGTAAATTTAAAATGCTATAAATTTACCTGCTTTTTTCCTACATTTTATGCTTAATGTTTTCCGCTGATTTTTCCCAAAGACTAATTTTGTCTAATTTTAATATAGTTATACCACATTTCTAACAGTGATTGCTTGGTATATTTCTACATTGTTTAATTTCAAACTCCATGAATTGTTAACATTGAGATGTGTCCTTTGTAAATTTCAAACAATTCGCCTTAGAAAGTAAGACTTTCTGACAATCTTTTGTTCATGTTTGAGCAGTTCTTCCAATCATATTTTTGTTATTATTACGTTGTGTTTTCCTGATTCCCTTTTTTTCCCACTGACTTCTGTGGTTTTCTATTTCAAACATTCTATTTTTGATCTATGTCGTTTAGGAATACATATATGGTGTACTCATCCTGAAGTTGTTACATATTTTTAAAATTGAAATTAATCATTTCAGAGATTAAACTGCAAATATAAAAACATATTTCCACTCTTCCTGTGTAAGAACAGGATTTTAGAGCATATTTAGTACATATGTTTGTATTTACTTATATGATGTTTTGTTTTGTGGTATACATAATTCTATCTTTTTCAGAAATTACACAGGGGCATGTTTTCATACACTATCGTATGGTCCATATTCATTTTTGGCATAGCCATATTTTTAGTTCTTCCTCTGCTCTTAGTTATTGTCAGAATCTTCGACACCCCATCTGGTTTCACTTTCTTTATCTTTGAGGCACGGTCATCAGAATTTCCTTTAGGGTCAGTGAGAAAAGCTTTCTTTGCCCTTTTGTCTTTCAGTTCTGTTTCTTTCCTGCGTTGATCTTGGACAGTAACTGTACTATGTAAGGAATTGTCGGTGGCTGGCGACGGTATCTTAGCTGGGTAAAGATGCTATTCTACTGGCTTATGTTTTCCTTTTTTCTGTGGGGAAGACAATGCTTGGCTCCCTATAAATCCTTACCAGCTGATCCTTTTCCTCTGGCTAATTTTAAGGGTTGGTTGTGCTTTTATGCTGCTTTTCTGTAATGTTGAACGTGAGGTGTGTTTACTTCATTCTGCCTGGCATTCACTGGATTTCTTGAACCTGTGGATTGATGGATGTGTCTACTTCCTCCAAATAATCAACAATTGCCTCTTTAAAGATTGCTTCTGACCTGTTTTCTCGTTCTTTCTTTTTGGAACTCAAGTTAGGAGCATTCTAAAACTGTTGTCAATTTTTACCCTGTCACAAAACTGCTCTTTCTTGTTTCAGTTATTTGCTTTTTCTGTGCATTAATATTGATGGTTTCCTCTGTCATAGAGGATAAATACTCTCTTCACTGTTGTGTACACAACATTTTAACTAGTTATTCTGGTTTAAATTTAATATTGACTTTATCTACATATCACAATTGATTACTGTGTACAGACTTTCTTTTCTATTAGTATAAATTTATGAGGTACACTTGTAATTTTGTGACATGAGTATGTTGCAGAGTAGTGAAGTCAGGACTTTTACTATATCCATCACCCAAATACCGTACATTGTACTCATTAAGCAAATTCTCATCACTCACCCACGTCCCGCCACCCTCCAGCCTTCTAGCCTCCGCTGTCCGTCATTCCACACTCTACGTCCATATGTACACATTACTCCCCTCCCATGTAGAGTGAGAAGATGTGGTATTTGTCTTTCTGAGTGGTTTTATGTAAAATAATGGCGTCCAGCTCCATCTATGTTGCTGCAAAAGACATGGTTTTATTTTTATGACCAAATAGTATTTCGTTGTGTATACACGCATCCTTTTTTTAATCCAATCATTCATTCACAGACACTTAGATTGATTTCATATCTTTGCTATTGCAAACAGTGCTGCAATAAACATACAGGTGCAGATATTTTTTGAGTAGATACCCAGCAGCGGGACCCCTAGATCGAATGGTGCTTCTATTTTTGGTTCTCTGCCAAATTTCCATACTGTCTTCCATAGAGGCTATACTAATTTACATACCGGCCAACAGTGTATAAGAGTTTCCTTTTCTCTGCATCCTTGCCAACACCTGTTATATGTTTCACTTTTTCTTTTTTTCTTTTTGAGATGGAGTCTTCCACTGTCACCCAGGCTGGAGTGCAGTGCCGCCATCTCCACGCGCTGCAACCTCCACCAACCAGGTTCAAATGATTCTCCTGCCTCAACCTCCTGAGTAGCTGGGATTACAGAACCACACCACCATGCCCAGCTAATCTTTTGTATATTTAGTAGAGATGGGGTTTCACTATGTTGGTCAGGCTGGTCTCAAACTCCTGACCTCATGATCCACCCGCCTCAGCTTCCCAAAGTGCTGGGATTACAAGCGTGAGCCACCACTCCCCACCAGCATTTTTAGTAATAGCCATTCTGACTACTGTAAGATGATATCTCATTGTGGTTTCAATTTGCATTTCTCTGATGATTAGTGATGTTCATACGCTGTTTGGCCATTCGTATGTCTTCTTTTGAAAAATGTCTATGTATATCCCTTTGCCCACTTTTTAATGCTATTATTTGAGGGGTTATGTTTAGTTGTTTGAGTTGCCTAGAAATTCTGGATGTTAGTCCCCTGTTGGGTGCATAGTTTGCAAACATTTCCATTCATTCTGTGGGTTGTCTGTTCACCCTGCTACTATTTCCTTTGCTTGGCAGAAGCTCTTTCGTTTATTAAGTCCCATTGGTCTAGTTTTATTTTTATTGCCTGTGCTTTTGAGGTCTTAGTGATGAATTCTTTGCCCAGACCAATGCCCAGAAGAGTTTCTCTTTGGGTTTCCACCGGTGATTTTATAGTTCTGGATTTACATTTAAGCTGCTAATTACCTTAAGTTAATTTATGTGTATGATTACAGATACAGGTCCAGTTTTATTCTTCTGCATATGGCTATTTAGTTTTCCCAGCACCTTTTATTGAAAAGGAAATCTTTCTCCAGGGTATGTTTTGTTAACGTCGTCAATGATTATTCACTGTAGATATGAGGCTGTATTTCTGGGCTCTCTATTCTGGTCTATTGATCTCTGTTTCTGTGTCTATACCAGCACTGTGCTATTTAAGTTACTATAGCCTTAGAGCATAGTTTGAAGTCAGATAGCGTGATGCCTCCAGGTTTCTACATTCACCTAGAATTGCTTTCTCTATTAGGATCTTTTTTGGTTCTGTATGAATTTTAGGATTGCTTTTTCTAATTCTGTGAAAACTGGTGTTACTATTTTCATATAAGAATTGCACTGAATCTGTAGATTGCTTTAGGCAGTATGGTCATTTTAACAATATTAATTCTTATGATCCATGAGCGTGGGATTTTTTTTCTTTTTTTTTTTTGTATTATCTATAATTGCTTTCATTGGTGTCTTACACCTTTCCTGGTACAGATCTTTCACCACCTTGGTTAAATGTATTCCTGAGTGTTTTAATTTTGCGTATCTATTGTAAACGGCATTGCCTTCTTGATTTGGTTCTCAGCTAGATCATTATAGGTGTAGAGAAATGCTACCGGCTTTTACATATTGATTTTGTATTCTGAAACTTTACTTAGTTCATTTATCAATCATAAGAATTTTTGGCAGGGTCTTTAGGATTTTCTAGATTTAAGATCATAGCATCAGAAATAAAAATAATTTTACTTCCTCTTTTCTAATTTGGATTTTTACTTCTTCCTGTTGCCCAATAGCTCTGACAAGGCTTCCAGTACTATGTTGATAGGAAGTGGTGGATGTCCGTGTCCTTGTCTTGTGCCAGTTCTCAGAGGAGTGCTTTTAACTTTTCCTGTTCAGTATGATGTTGACTCTAGATATGTCATCTATGGCTTTTATTATTTTGAGGTATGTTCTTTCTATGCCTAAGTTTTTGAGGGTTTTCATCAGGTAAGGATGTTGAATTTCTTTTCAGATGCTTTTCTTTATGTCTATTGAGATGATCATATGGTTTTTGTTCTGGATTCTGCTCGTTCTTCTAAGTGGATGAGACATGCCAGAAAAGCATTTAGTCAGCCATCTTGGAAACAAGCATCTCAGATGTTTTCTTTCTCTATAGCTCATTCTTTCTTACCAGTGTTTTCAATTTTGTACTTAATTTTGTAAAGAGAGTAAATGATATAATTTCCACATATGTTTCCTCTGCCAAATCAGACTCACTATGCTTCCTTTCCTTGTATGCATAACCTACCCAGCAATACACACAAACATTTATTGCTTTGGAGAATTAGTTTGGGAACATTTTTGAAATGTACAAAAAAATGTATATCTTCAAAAGAAATTTCTTTTTGTGGCAAAAGACTTCTGAAGGTGCTCATGATGATATAGGGAGAAGAGGGGTTCTGGACAGGAAGAATTTTATGAAGGTGAGATGGGGAAATAGCTCCATTTCAGAGCTTCTGGGGAGAGAGGGGCCTGGCCCACATGGAAAGGTCTCTGATCTTACCCCCACCCTCCAGCCCCTGTTCTCCAGAACTATACTGTGGAGAGTTCCATCAGGATTGTTGTGGCTGGTCTGGTCTTCCTGGCTCTTTTGGCAATGCTGGCTAAGACCTGGTGGAGACATGAGGGGCCACAGGTGGAAATGGAAGAAACATGACTGAAGCTGGCTGGAGTGAATGGCGCGACATTCTGTCTGTGGGAGATTGGCCAGATGGGTTTCAAGTGTGTTGTATCAGCTGTGACTTTTAGTAATGTTCTTGCTACCACAATATCCACTCGTCCATCCCGAATAATTGTGATGAAATATTGTCCTTGGGATAATATTCATTTGCTAAAGACAGGGATGATACCTCAAGGTGCCACTATATACATCGAGGGGATCCACAAAAGTCCATTCAGTAAAATGTAGTTGGCATCTTAGGGTAGGTTGATTCCACCTCTAAAAAAGTAGGTACAACATCAGGTTGATTTTTCCGAAGAAAAGTGGTGATTGGCCATCTTTAGTCTCAATGTAAACGGTAATACTGATGAGTGTGGAAAAGGCAGGGAAGAGGATTGACAATAAGTGACACTCATTGTTTTCATCTGAGCTTTGAGACTGAAAGAGGAACACAGGAGTGAGATGTATGGGAACAAACCCCTTCTTTTTCCAGCTAAACAGAGTGGAAGTTGGACACTGAGTTTTGGCGTACAGCAAAATCCTAAGTCCATTGTTGGGTTGAACACGGCCATGTTGTACATCCTGGTTTCACAGCAGACACTGGAGGAAAACAGCCTGTATTCATAAGAGGCTGTCCCTCGGGTCACTGCCCAGAATATCCGGAGTTGGTGCTCACAGGGTTGGGAACTCTCCTGGACCAGACAGGCTCTGGATATGGGGGGGTACCAAGCTCCCCGGGGCCATGCCTCCACAGCTCTCTTCTCACCTCATTCTTGACCATTTCCCAAACCTCTGACCTCACCTTCATTCATCCATGGTGAACACGCTAAAGCTGGCCTTCAAAGCTTGAGACAGAGGAAAATTGGGCTTCATCTCTGGGAACTAAATTGGGGAGTGGAGACTCAGTTCTGGCCTGACAGGAGGGAGAAGACCCTGGATCCCAGTGTGGATGGGAAGAAGTATGTGTTTCTCTTTTGTGCTTGGACCCTGTGTCCAAGCATGTCTGAGATGTGATGAAGATGAATCTTCCTTTCCTTGTCTATTTTCTCATGCCAGAGAATTGGAATCTTATATTCCATTAACTCTTTCTGTTCTGTTCATCCAGATTCTATGAAGGAGAAAGGAAAAGATGTGATACTGTAATTTTGCTCCATTTGTCTAAAATGAGTAGGCTGCAACTCCTCTTGAAGTGATACCTTTTCTAGCTCTTGTTGGAGGTGTCTCAGGACTCATTACTTCGGGGAACCTGCAACTGTGTCAGTCTGGGGAAACTGCAAATATTCTTGTCTTACATTTGTCTCCAGCCAATTGTGATGGACTCCAGTGACCTGCAATTGCTGTTATTGCAGGTAAAATGTACCTGAGTCAGGCCACAGTTCTCCTGGACTATGAGCCCCTGGCCATGTTCCTGAGGCAATTCTGTTCATCTAAATATAATAATAATAACACACTAAAAATGGCAAGCCATTGTTAATTCCTGAAGTCTCATTTGAAAATTACTAAATGTCTGTTATTTTTTGGTGTTTACATTATATGTAGACAGATAAACTACACACACACACACACACACACATGCACACAGAAGAATGGATTGGTTCATGTAGAAAAGTAAATAATTCAAGATGAAAGGATGAAATGTCATGGCACCTACTATTCTATTTTAGATAAAGGGTCTATGAAAAGATTGATTTCTTTTTATGTTTTATTTGTTGACATTTGAACACAAACTATGTAAGTGAGGGAGTCGATTTGAAAGGGAGAAGAGCAAGTTCAAACACATTCAGGTGAGGTCATGCTTTACATGTTTTAATTGAAATGATCCATCTTGGGAGTAGATCAATAACTGAGATGGTGCCAGGAATGTTAAAAAGCTTTTGTCAGTCCTAAATATTGACAAATAAAATTTAATTAAAGTCTTAGAAGAAAACACAAAGGAAAACTTCACAACATCGGATTTGGCAGTGATTCTTTAGATGTGACAACAACGGCACAGGCTACTACAGAAAAAATAAACAAGTTAGACTTTATGAAAATTTTGAAATATTGTGACTCAAAAGACAACATCAGTTACTTCACATGGCAAGGAAAAAGAACTTTTAAGACGATATTATCAAAGTAAAAAGACAACCCACAGAATGGGAGAAAATGTTTTCAAACCACACCACCTGTAAGGGATTAACATCCAGAATATACAGACAACTCCTAAAACTCAATCACAATAAACTCAATTCAAAAATGGGCAAAGTACTGAAACAGACATTTCTCCAAAGAACATACGCATGAAAAGATATTCAGCATCACGAATCATTAGGGAAATACTAACTAAAACTACACCAGATGCCATTTCATACCCCTTAGGATGGGTATCATCAAAACAACAACAACAACAACAACAAAGTTTCTATACATTAACAACAAACTATCCAAAAAAGTTTACAAGAAAATAAGCCCATTTGCAATAACTACAGAAAACAAAACATGCAGGAATAAATTCACCCAAGGAGTAGAAAGATCTGTATGCAAAAGCTATAAAACATTGATGAAAAAACTCAAGAAATAAACAAATAAATCGAAAGATATTCCATGTTCACGGATCAGAAGGATTAATGTTGTTAAAATGTCCATTCTATCCAAAGTGATTCAATGCAACCATTATCAAAAATCCAATGACATTTTTTTTACAGAAATAGAAAAAACAGTCCTAAAATTCATGTGGAACCACAAAAGATCTCAAATAACCAAAGCCATCTAGAGGGAAAGGAACAAAGTTGGAAGCATCACATTACCTAAACACAAACTACATTACAAAATTACAGTAATTAAAACAACACAGTACTTGCATAAAAACAGACACATAGACCAATGGAAGTGATTCATAGCCCAGGAAAAAAATGCATGCATTTAGGGTCAAACAATTTTTGGGATGTGTCAAGAACACACAATGGAGAAGGAACAGTCTCTTTAATAAATGGGATTGGGAGACTGCATGTCCACATGCAGAAGAATGGAAGTGGACATTTGCCTCACAAAACATACAAAGTCAACTCAAGATAGATTAATGACTTAAATGTAAGATGAAAGACTATAATCCCAGCAATTTGGGAGGCCAAGGTGGGCAGATCACCTAAGGTCAGGATTCCAAGACCAGCATGGCCAACATGGTGAAATCCCGCCTCTACTAAAAATACAAAAACAGCTGGGTGTGGTTGTGGGTGCCTGTAATCTCAGCTACTCGGGAGGTTGAGACAGGAGAATCACTTGAACCCAGGAGGTAGAGGTTGCAGTGAGCCGAGATCGCACCACTGCACTCCAGCCGGGGCAACACAGTGAGACTCCATCTTAAAAAAAAAAAAAAAACTACTAAAAGAAATCAAGGGAAAACTCCACTGGCTTGGGCAAAACCATTTTGGATATTAACCCAAAGGCCCAGGCAACAAAAGCAAAAGTAGACAAATAACATTATATCAAATTGAAAGTTTCTGCAAAGAAAAAAAAAACTCAACAAGTGGAAAGACAACCTATGGAATGGGAGAATATATTTGCACCCATACATCTAATAAGGAATTAATATCCAAAATATATAAGAAACTCAAACAACTCAATGGTAAGAAATCAAATAACCCAACTTAAAAAAATGGGCAAAGTATCTGAATAAACATTTCTAAGAATAAGACAAATCACCAAAAGGTATATGAAAAAATGATTAGCATTACTAAACATCAGCTAAATAAAAATTAAAACTAGAATGAGATATCACCTCACACCTCTTAGAATGACCATTAACAGTCTGGGCATGGTGGCTCATGCCTGTAATTCAGGCACTTTGGGAGGCCGAGGCAGGGAGATTACCTGAGGTCAGCAGTTCGAAACCAGCCTGGCCAATATGGTGAAACCCCATCCCTACTAAAAATACAAAAATTAGCAGAGTTTGGTGGCGCACACTTGTAGTCCCAGCTACTCTGGAGACTGAGGCAGGGGAATCGCTTGAACCCAGGAGGCAGAGGTTGCAGTACACCGAGATTGTGCCACTGCACTCCAGCCTGGGTGACAGAGCAAGACTGAGTCTCAAAAAAAAAAAAAAAAAAAGACCATTATCAAAAACATAAAAAATAACAAGGGTTAACGAGGATGTGGAGAAAAGGGAACATTTGTATGCAGTTGATGGGAATGTAAATTAGCACAACCATTATGGAAAACAGTCTGGAAGTTCCTGAAAAAATTAAACATAGAATTCCCATATGTGTCTGCAATCCAACTACTGCGCATGTATCCAAAGGAAGTGGAATCAGTATGTTGAAGAGATATCTGCATTCCCATGTTTACAGCCGCATTATTCATAACAGCCAAGATGTGGAATCACCCTTACTGCCCATCTATGGGTGCATGGACAAAGAAAACGTGGTATACGATAGGAACGTAATGAAGTACTATACAACCTTTACAACAAAGAAGGAAGTCCTCTCATTTGTGACAATGTGAAAAAACTTAGAGGACATTATGTTAAGGGAAACAATCCAGGCACAGAAAGACAAATGCCACATGATCTCATGTGTGGAGTGTAAGAAGTGGAACCTAGAGGAACAGTAAAATGGTCGTCGAAAGAACCTGGGATGGAGAGAGATTGAAGAGATGTTGGTCAAAGGATGCAAAATTTCAGTTAGAAGAAATCGGTTCAAGAGATCTATTGTATGTCTTGGTGACTCCAGTTAATAGCAACATATGGTGTATTGAACATTACTAAGAGATTAGATTTTACATGTTCTCACCACACACACAAAACATACAAGTATGTGAAAAAATAAATATGATAAAGAGGTTGTTTCATCCATTCCACAATGTGTACCTATATGAAAACATCATGATGGACACCACAAATACCCTTTTCCTCATTAATTAAATTTGTTTTGGTTTTTTTTTTGAGATGCAGTTTCACTGTTGTTGCCCAAGCTGAGGTGCAATGGCGTGATCTCCGCTCACTGCAACCTCTGCCTCCCAGGTTCAAGCGGTTCTCCTGACTCAGCCTCCCAAGCAGCTGGGACTACAGTTGCGTACCACCCCGTCCGGCTATATTTGTGTTTCTAGTAGAGACAGGGTTTCGCCATGTTGGCCAGGCTGGTCTCGAACTCCAGACCTCAGGTGATCCACCCGCTTCGCCCTCCCAAAGTGCTAGATTTCAGGCTGAGACACCACACCCAGCCTGTACATTGACTTTCTGCCCTTAAACTGTGCTGAAGTTTGTTTCTCAGATGTAGGAGCCTTTGGGCAGAGACTATGGGGTTTCTAGGTATAGAAATTATCTCATCTTCAAACAGAGGTAATTTGACTACCTCTCTCTGCTACTCTCTTCTTACTTGGATGCCTTATAATTCTTTCTCTTTCCTGATGGCTCTGTCTAGGACTTCAAGTACTATGTTGAATAGGATGGTGAGAGTGGGCATTCTTGTCTTGTTTCACTTATGAAGGGAACTTCTTCCAGCTTTTACTCATTCAGTATGAT